>NC_000006.12:7938787-8090303 GCF_000001405.40 Homo sapiens
TCTGCCGGTGACTCTCCAGTATGTGTCTCAGAGGTCCAAGTGACACACTTTTTACACAAAGTATAGTAAAGCCATTTCTGGTAGCCACCAACTAGGCACATTCTGTGAGTTAGGCAGTTTTTGCCATTTGTAGAATAAAGGAAGTAAACCTTCCTTTGGTTCACATTTTAATCCACAGTCAGTCATGTCAGCCTTTCCTGTTCATCTAGGAAACATCTTGTCAGCTGACACTTATTCCAACATCAGGAAGCTTCTTCTGCTTTGCACTGTGAGCTGACAGTATCTGCTTATTATATACTGTTGTTACATTTATTTGATGGGATGCTTCTCCAGATGTGGAATTATTCATTGTCAAAGGTGCTCAGCCTTGCAGATCTTGATAGTGGTTATAGTAAATGTTGTCTTCAGATTGGGAAATAATCACTTGGTCCCCCATAGTTATCAGCTGGTGATATAAGTGCCCCCCAGCCTTGTGGACTAAGGGGAATTTGCATGGCAGGCCGGCGTTTGCTCCATGGGCTGTCAGGAGCACTTCTACCCAAGCTCACACTGGGCCTCCACGCAGGAACAAGACTCCTGACAGGGGCTCTACTGACAGGGCCCAGTCACAGCACCCACGCCTGATCTCTCAGGGCCTCCGGAGCTCCTGAACTTCTCTCTGACTCACTTGCAGCAGCAACAATTTTGACATTATATTTTTGATATTACTTTTAAACAAGCAAACCAATTAGAATGTGCTTTGAGGATTTACTAAGCTCACAGCAAAATCTGTTTTGTTTTCACAGCTGTGCTCACACGCTTGAATGATGCCATTTCGAGGGAGATAGCATGATGTAATGTTGACGACAGCACAATTGTCATCCTGCTAAAGAGTATTGTGAACTCAATGGAAACGAAAAGTGAGGCTTTCATCTGTAAGCTTAGATCCCATTTATGGCAATCATCTCAACCTCTGCGCAGGGCTCACAGTGGAAATTACTACAAGCTGCCGAACACAGATGACATCATCTTGCCACCCACAAATGTTATGGGTTTGACAGCCCAGAAGATGGCATCCCCTGGGAGGAATACAGCTCTAACTAAGTTGACAAGTTTTGTGTGTTTGAGAGGAAATAGTTTCATAAAAGTTGTTCTCCTCTCCGTTTTCTCTTTGGGTTTGGCAACTGCCACTACAATGAAATTATGGTCACGACAAGGAGCCATTAGCTTTCCCCAGAGCCATGAGCCACAGCTCCCTCTGCGTGGAACGATGTGAGTTTGCAGCCCTTTCCTGTTAGAGCTTTCACAACTTGGAGCTCTGGAGGCTGAGATTTAAACCAGTGCCTATGCTATTGTGCTGTTACTCCTTTGCACTTCTCTCTGCTGTACTGCTAATCACCAGGGCTTTTCAGTTAGGCCACCAGAGCTCACGCATGCCACACAGCTACTGAAGTTGTCATGGATCATAAAGACAGTGTTTCCTGACTGCTAATTCTGCAACTGCTCTCCTGTGTTTGATGGAAGGCTGGACATTTTTTTTTTTTAATGCTCAAATTATCTTCCATTAAAGGACACACACCTTCTTTACATGACCTGGAGCTGTTTCTACCTGCAGCTCTGGAGTCACGGTCATCCCAGATATGCTATTATATCCATATTATGGAACCATGGCTTTCTAGTAATCATAAAAGTGGAAATAAAAGAAAAAGAGGCAGATTCCACAGAAAACAAAAAGAAAAAAGAAGAAAGAGAGAGAGAAAGAAAATGAGAGAGAAGAAAAAAGAAACGAAGAGAAAGAATGAAAGAAAGAAGAAAGAGAAAGAAGAAAGAAAGAAAGAAAGAAAGAAAGAAAGAAAGAGAGAGAGAGAGAAAGAAAGAAAGAAAGAAAGAAAGAATGAACGGAAGGAAGGAAGGAAGGGGCGGCGGGCAATAATAGAAGCACTAAAGTCATAAGCCACCCTGGATATAAATAAGGCACCAAGAGATAAAAAAAAAAATTATCTGGTCTCTTATTTATTAAATCTCAGCACTTGGTCTGGCCAAAATAGGGTTAGTGGAAAAACTGGTTTTAATTACATTTTAATCATCAGTGTCTTTCTTCACTATCCACAACTCTATTGGTGGCTTTAAGACCAATGTATTTCAATATCAACCACCCCCCAAAATGGGGCTTAGGGGCAACTGGCATTTCTGAACCCCCGCACTAAGTCTTCTCTGCCACAGCGCCACCTCTGGTAAGGAAGACTATCGACTCGCCATAGTTTGGAATGACTGGGCGGGCGCTGTTCCCCCAATCTTTACACCTTCAGTGTGTCTCATCACCCTGGGGAATATTTGGGGAATGCTGAATCCACAGGATCCCTTACTGCTCACAGAAAGAGTGTCAACAACACAATGTACTATTTAGAAAGAAAAAGGACTGAAAATATTGAGCCTTTAAACAATCTTCTCTCCCTCCTTGCTGCATGCAGAATGGATTCCGTCACCTTCCGGGCCCGGCCCTGGGCTCTCACCCATCTTTGTGATCTGATTATCATCCTGTTACAGCAGTGAACTCAATATACCTTGTGTTAAATTAAAATAGAAGTGTTTTCCCCACTACAATGCAAATTCCTTGGGAGCAGCAATCACCACTTGCTAGTCTTTATATTCCCATACAAAGAAACTTAGTCCATTTTCTGTTGCTTATAACAGAATACCTGAAACTGGGTAATTTATAGAGAAAGGGAATTTATTTCTTACAGTTATAAAAGCTGAGAAGTCTAAGGTCAAGGTGCTGCATCTGGTGAGGGCCTTCTTGCTGGTGGGGACTCTCTGCAGAATCCCGAGGCAACACAAGTCATCATGTAGTGAGGGGGCTGAGTGTGCTAGCTTACATCTCTCTTCTTCTGATAAAGCCATCAGTACCGCTCCTATGACAACCCAATTAGTCTATTAACCCACTGATCCATTAATCCATGAATGGATTAACCCATTTATGAGGGCAGAGCCCTCATGACCCAATAACCTCTTAAAGGCCCCACCTCTCAGTACTGCCACCTTAGAGATTAAGTTTCAACGTAATCTCAATAGAAGAGACAAACATGCAAACCATAGCAGAACCTGCTCAGTAAATGTTTGTTGTACTGAATTATGCTCTCGAAAATATTACCAGATCTGAGGCTCATAGATTTAGCCTGAATAAATCTACTGGCTCATAAATTTACCCTGAATAAAACTACTAGAGCATGTGTTTTATTCATGAACTTAATATCCATATTCAGGTACGCACCATTCCTTATATAAAATCTGGTATATCAGAATTTTAAGATTTTCAAAAGTTAGTTCCTGTATATTACATAGCATGTTAACACTGTGTACATTTACAAAAAGTGTAAGTACAGAAATAAAAACTAGCCTCACATTAGCGAAGATTATGTTTTATGATCAAATAAGCTTGCTGAAAATGTATGAAAAAAAGTCTTTGCTTTCAAAACTTTTTGGATTTCAGAATAATGAAGAATTGTGGAACTACAGCGGAAGAAAAAATGAGTTACTTCTTTTACATTAAACTTCTATAACTGATTTAATCTTCCTTAAAAAACATCCTATTTTATTTCTGTACACTTTCATTTTAAAATTACAAGTAATCTATTAAAACATGCTCATTACTTAAAATTCTACCAATGGAGATAAAGCAAAGTCCTCTTAGATGGCCCCCCTTCTCACCTCAATTTTCTTTCCACAGGAATCCCTTGGCCTCCTGGTTGCTCCACAGGCACTCATCAAGGCACGGAGCAACACCTTGTGTTTATAAAGTCCCCTCGCAAAGCACCCTCACCTCATCTTCCCCCATGACCTGTCCTCACTGCATTCCTTGGAGGTCTATAAAGCAAATTGTGTTATTCTCCATGTTGAGAGATGAGAAAAATTAGAGTTAAGCACATCAAGATTCTTGCTTCCTGTGATAGTGCTAACAAGTGGAAAAGAAGGAAATAGAACCCAAATATTCTGACCTTCAGCATTCTTTATGTTTTCTGTCATCACAACCCCAAATTCTGCTATCATGTGTATTCCCAATACCATGTCTGCAGCCAGGGGTCATTGGTGTATAAACAACTTTTCATCTAAAAGGGTGATATGGGTTGGCTCTGTGTCCCCACCCAAATCTCATCTTGTAGCTCCCATAATTCCCACATGTTGTGGGAGAGACCCAGTGGGAGATGATCGAATCATGGAGGTGGGTTTTTCCCATGCTGCTCTCTTGATAGTGAACGGGTCTCATAAGATCTGATGGTTTTAAAAACAGGAGTTTCTCTGCACAAGCTTGCTCTTTGCCTGCTGCCATCCACATAAGATGTGACTTTGCTCCTCCTCACCTTCCACCATGATTGTGAGGCTTCCCCAGCCACGTGGAACTGTGAGTCCAATTAAACCTCTTTTTTTTTTATTATTATACTTTAAGTTTTAGGGTACATGTGCACAACGTGCAGGTTTGTTACATATGAATACATGTGCCATGTTGGTGTGCTGCATCCATTAACTCATCATTTACATTAGGTATATCTCCTAATGCTATCCCTCCCCCTTCCCCCACCCCACAACAGGCCCCGGTGTGTGATGTTCTCCTTCCTGTGTCCAAGTGTTCTCATTGTTCAATTCCCACCTATAAGTGAGAACATGTGGTGTTTGGTTTTTCGTCCTTGCGATAGTTTGCTGAGAATGATGGTTTCCAGCTTCATCCATGTCCCTATAAAGGACATGAACTCACCATTTTTTATGGCTGCATAGTATTCCATGGTGTATATGTGCCACATTTTCTTAATCCAGTCTATCATTGTTGGACATTTGGGTTGGTTCCAAGTCTTTGCTATTGTGAATAGTGCCACAATAAACATACATGTGCATGTGTCTTTATAGCAGCATGATTTATAATCCTTTGGGTATATACTCAGTAATGGGATGGCTGGGTCAAATGGTATTTCTAGTTCTAGATCCCTGAGGAATCACCACACTGACTTCCACAATGGTTGAACTAGTTTACAGTCCCACCAACAGTGTAAAAGTGTTCCTATTTCTCCACATCCTCTCCAGCACCTGTTGTTTCCTGACTTTTTAATGATCACCATTCTAACTGGTGTGAGATGGTATCTCATTGTGGTTTTGATTTGCATTTCTCTGATGGCCAGTGATGATGAGCATTTTTTCATGTGTCTTTTGGCTTCATAAATGTCTTCTTTTGAGAAGTGTCTGTTCATATCCTTCACCCACTTTTTGATGGGGTTGTTTTTTTTCTTGTGAATTTGTTTGAGTTCTTTGTAGATTCTGGATATTAGCCCTTTGTCAGATGAGTAGATTGCAAAAATTTTCTCCCATTCTGTAGGTTGCCTGTTCACTCTGATGGTAGTTTCTTTTGCCGTGCAGAAGCTCTTTAGTTTAATTAGATCCCATTTGTCAATTTTGGATTTTGTTGCCATTGCTTTTGGTATTTCAGACATGAAGTCCTTGCTCACACCTATGTCCTGAATGGTATTGCCTAGGTTTTCTTCTAGGGTTTTTATGGTTTTAGATCTAACATTTAAGTCTTTAATCCATCTTGAATTAATTTTTGTATAAGGTGTAAGGAAGGGATCCAGTTTCAGCTTTCTATATATGGCTAGCCAGTTTTCCCAGCACCATTTATTAAATAGGGAATCCTTTCCCCATTTCTTGTTTTTGTCAGGTTTGTCAAAGATCAGATGGTTGTAGATATGTGGCATTATTTCTGAGGGCTCCGTTCTGTTCCATTGGTCTATATATCTGTTTTGGTACCAGTACCATGCTGTTTTGGTTACTGCAGCCTTGTAGTATAGTTTTAAGTCAGGTAGCGTGATGCCTCCAGCTTTGTTCTTTTGGCTTAGGATTGACTTGGTAATGCAGACTCTTTTTTAGTTCTTTAAAGTAGTTTTTTTCCAATTCTGTGAAGAAAGTCATTGGTAGCTTGATGGGGATGGCATTGAATCTATAAATTACCTTGGGCAGTATGGCCATTTTCATGATATTGATTCTTCCTACCCATGAGCATGGAATGTTCTTCCATTTGTTTATATCCTCTTTTATTTCCTTGAGCAGTGGTTTGTAGTTCTCCTTGAAGAGGTCCTTCACATCCCTTGTAAGTTGGATTCCTAGGTATTTTATTCTCTTTGAAGCAATTGTGAATGGGAGTTCACTCATAATTTGGCTCTCTGTTTGTCTGTTATTGGTGTATAAGAATGCTTGTGAATTTTGCACATTGATTTTTGTATCCTGAGACTTTGCTGAAGTTGCTTATCAGCTTAAGGAGATTTTGGGCTGAGACAATGGGGTTTTCTAGATATACAATCTTGTCATCTGCAAACAGGGACAAATTGACTTCCTCATTTCCTAATTGAATACCCTTTATTTCCTTCTCCTGCCTGATTGCCCTGGCCAGAACTTCCAACACTATGTTGAATAGGAGTGGTGAGAGAGGGCATCCCTGTCTTGTGCCAGTTTTCAAAGGGAATGCTTCCAGTTTTTGCCCATTCAGTATGATATTGGCTGTGGGTTTGTCATAGATAGCTCTTATTATTTTGAGATGTGTCCCATCAATACCTAGTTTATTGAGAGTTTTTAGCATGAAGGGCTGTTGAATTTTGTCAAAGGCCTTTTCTGCATCTATTGAGATAATCATGTGGTTTTTGTCATTGGTTCTGTCTATATGCTGGATTACGTTTATTGATTTGTGTATGTTGAACCAGCCTTGCATCCCAGGGATAAAGGCCACTTGATCATGGTGGATAAGCTTTTTGATGTGCTGCTGGATTCGGTTTGCCAGTATTTTATTGAGGATTTTTGCATCGATGTTCATCAGGGATATTGGTATAAAATTCTCTTTTTTTGTTGTGTCTCTGCCAGGCTTTGGTATCAGGATGATGCTGGCCTCATGAAATGAGTTAGGGAGGATTCCCTCTTTTTCTATTGATTGGAATAGTTTCAGAAGGAATGGTACCAGCTCCTCCTTGTACCTCTGGTAGAATTCGGCTGTGAATCCATCTGGTCCTGGACTTTTTTTGGTTGGTAAGCTATTAATTATTGCCTCAATTGCAGAGCCTGTTATTGGTCTATTCAGAGATTCAACTTCTTCCTGGTTTAGTCTTGGGAGGGTGTATGTTTCAAAGAATTTATCCATTTCTTCTAGATTTTCAAGTTCATTTGCATAGAAGTGTTTATAGTATTCTCTGATGGTAGTTTGTATTTCTGTGGGATCGGTGGTGATATCCCCTTTATCATTTTTTTATTGCGTCTATTTGATTCTTCTCTCTTTTCTTCTTTATTAGTCTTGCTAGCAGTCTATCAATTTTGTTAATCTTTTCAAAAAACCAGCTCCTGGATTCATTGATTTTTTCAAGGGTTTTTTGTGTCTCTATTTCCTTCAGTTCTTCTCTGATCTTAGTTATTTCTTGCCTTCTGCTAGCTTTTGAATGTGATTGCTCTTGCTTCCCTAGTTCTTTTAATTGTGATGTTACGGTGTCGATTTTAGATCTTTCTTGCTTTCTCTTGTGGGCATTTAGTGCTATATATTTCCCTCTACACACTGCTTTAAATGTGTCCCAGAGATTCTGGTATGTTGTGTCTTTGCTCTCGTTGGTTTCAAAGAACATCTTTATTTCTGCCTTCATTTTGTTATGTACCCAGTAGTCATTCAGGGGCAGGTTGCTCAGTCTCCATGTAGTTGAATGGTTTTGAGTGAGTTTCTTAATCCTGAGTTCTAGTTTAATTGCACTGTGGTCTGAGAGACAGTTTGTTATAATTTCTGTTCTTTTACATTTGCTGAGGAGTGCTTTACTTCCAACTATGTGGTCAATTTTGGAATAAGTGCAGTGTGGTGCTGAGAAGAATGTGTATTCTGTTGATTTGGGGTGGAGAGTTCCGTAGATGTCTATTAGGTCTGCTTGGTGCAGAGCTGAGTTCAATTCCTGGATATCCTTGTGAATTTTCTGTCTCATCGATCTGTCTAATGTTGACAGTGGGGTGTTAAAGTCTCCCATTATTATTGTGTGGGAGTCTAATTCTCTTTGTAGGTCTCTAAGGACTTGTTTTATGAATCTCGGTGCTCCTGTATTGGGTGCATATATATTTAGGATAGTTAGCTCTTCTTGTTGAATTGATCCCTTTACCATTATGTAATGGCCTTCTTTGTCTCTTTTGATCTTTGTTGGTTGAAAGTCTGTTTTATCAGAGACTAGGATTGCAACCCCTGTCTTTTTTCGTTTTCCATTTTCTTGGTAGATCTTCCTCCATCCCTTTATTTTGAGCCTACGTGTGTCTCTGCACGTGAGATGGGTTTCCTGAATACAGCACACTGATGGGTCTTGACTCTTTATCCAATTTGCCAGTCTGTGTCTTTTAATTGGAGCATTTAGCCCATTTACATTTAAGGTTAATATTGTTATGTGTGAATTTGATCCTGTCATTATGATGTTAGCTGGTTATTTTGCTCGTTAGTTGATGCAGTTTCTTCCTAGCCTTGATGGTCTTTACAATTTGGCATGTTTTTGCAGTGGCTGGTACCAGTTGTTCCTTTCCATGTTTAGTGCTTCCTTCAGGAGCTCTTGTAGGGCAGGCCTGGTGGTGACAAAATGTCTCAGCATTTGCTTGTCTGTAAAGGATTTTATTTCTCCTTCACTTATGAAGCTTAGTTTGGCTGGATATGAAATTCTGGGTTGAAAATTCTTTTCTTTAAGAATGTTGAATATTGGCCCCCACTCTCTTCTGGCTTGTAGAGTTTCTGCCAAGAGATCAGCTGTTAGTCTGATGGGCTTCCTTTTGTGGGTAACCTGACCTTTCTCTCTGGCTGCCCTTAACATTTTTTCCTTCATTTCAACTTTGGTGAATCTGACAATTATGTGTCTTGGAGTTGCTCTTCTCGAGGAGTATCTTTGTGGCATTCTCTGTATTTCCTGAATTTGAATGTTGCCCTGCGTTGCTAGATTGGGGAAGTTCTCCTGGATAATATCCTGCAGAGTGTTTTCCAACTTGGGTCCATTCTCCCTGTCACTTTCAGGTACACCAATCAGATGTAGATTTGGTCTTTTCACATAGTCCCATATTTCTTGGAGGCTTTGTTCATTTCTTTTTCTTCTTTTTTCTCTAAACTTCTCTTCTCGCATCATTTCATTCATTTGATCTTCCATCGCTGATAAACTTTCTTCCAGTTGATCGAATCGGCTACTGAAGCTTGTGCATTTGTCATGTAGTTCTCGTGCCATGGTTTTCAGCTCCATCAGGTCCTTTAGGGACTTCTCTGCATTGGTTATTCTAGTTAGCCATTCGTCTAATCTTTTTTCAAGGTTTTTAACTTCTTTGCCATGGGTTCGAACTTCCTCCTTTAGCTCGGAGAAGTTTGATCATCTGAAGCCTTCTTCCCTCAACTTGTCAAAGTGATTCTCCTTCCAGCTTTGTTCCATTGCTGGTGAGGAGCTGCGATCCTTTGGAGGAGGAGAGGCACTCTGATTTTTAGAATTTTCAGTTTTTCTGTTCTGTTTTTTCCCCATCTTTGTGGATTTATCTACGTTTGGTCTTTGATGATGGTGACGTACAGATGGGATTCTGGTGTGGATGTCCTTTCTGTTTGTTAGTTTTCCTTCTAATAGTCAGAACCCTCAGCTGCAGGTCTGTTGGAGTTTGCCAGACGTCCACTCTAGATCCTGTTTGCCTGGGTGTCAGCAGCAGAGGCTGCAGAACAGTGAATATTGGTGAACAATGTTGCTGCCTGATCGTTCCTCTGGAGGTTTTGTCTCAGAGGAATACCCGGCCATGTGAGGTGTCAGTCTGCCCCTACTCGGGGTTGCCTCCCAGTTAGGCTACTCAGGGGTCAGGGACCCACTTGAGGAGGCAGTCTGTCCGTTCTCAGATTTCAAGCTGCATGCTGGGAGAACCACTACTGTCTTCGAAGCTGTCAGACAGGGACACTTAAGTCTGCAGAGGTTTCTGCTGCCTTTTGTTTGGCTATGCCCTGCCCCCAGAGGTGGAGTCTACAGAGGCAGGCAGGCCTCCTTGAGCTGCGGTGGGCTCCACCCAGTTCGAGCTTCCTGGCCGCTTTGTTTACCTACTCAAGCCTCAGCAATGGCAGGTGCCCCTCCGCCAGCCTCGCTGCTGCCTTGCAGTTTGATCTCAGACTGCTGTGCTAGCAATGAGCGAGGCTCTGTGGGTGTAGGACCCCCTGAGCCATGCATGGGATATAATCTCCTGGTGTGCCGTTTGCTAAGACCACTGGGAAAGCGCAGTATTAGGGTGGGAGTGACCCGATTTTCCAGGTGCCATCTGTCACCCCCTTCCTTGGCTAGCAAAGGGAATTCCCTGACCCCTTGCGCTTCCCAGGTGAGGAGATGCCTCACCCTGCTTCGGCTCACACTCGGTGCACTGCACCCACTGTCCGACAGTCCCCAGTGAGATGAACCCGGTACCTCAGTTGGAAATGCAGAAATCATTCGTCTTCTGTGTCGCTCATGCTGGGAGCTGTAGACTGGAGCTGTTCCTATTCGGCCATCTTGGAACCCAACCTCTTTCTTTTGTAAATTGTCCAGTCTCGGGTATGTCTTTATCAGCACATAAAAACAGGCTAATACAAAGGAGGTCTTCTCAGATCAATGTAGGCCAAGTTATACAGGTGTGCTGGGGACCTCCCTGCTTCCCCCACCCCTTTCCCGATTTAGCCTGGGAGCTTCACAAATTCCTGGGAGTTCCAAAACACTTCACCAACAGAGATTTGCCAGATTTCAATAACAACCCATCCTATCCCTCAGCCACCCCTTAACTGGACAGTCCGTTAGTGCTAAAGTCACCTTTGCATTCTCACAAATGTGTGCAATTTACCAATTTTGGTTCTCCAAAATCACCTTTCTCAGGATCATATTTGTATTATGACTTTCAACAAAGAGTGCACATACCTTCACATATTGTCTGTTTGTTTGTCTTTAAACTGAATTCTAAGAGGAAGGAGGAGGCACTCTTATTCTTCTGCTATAGATAAGCTACATAAGCTTCCATGGCTTATAGTCTGTGTTTTCACATTCCAGAAACACATCTGCTTGGCAATACAGAAAAGCCTTTCCCATTCAAGAAAGAAGTTTTCTAAACATATTCTGAAGCATAAACATCTTCAAATATAACATCTTTGAGGCAAGCAGAGAAAGTTCCCGGGAACAAAGGGTTATCATGAGAGATGAGAGCTTATTTTATTAATCCGGTATCACATACAGTCTGTTTAAAAGAGATTAGTACTTATTAAGTGAATCTGGTATCAGTAGCTGCCCTAAATAGAACACATTATTTGGCAAGAGCTCTTAAGGAACTTGTCCTACCTACACAAAAGCAAAGAAAGAGTAGTATTAGCCATAGTGTTCTTAGGAAATGGTTTCTCATTTTAATTATCTGTATTTTAGAATAAGTGCAATGGTGTAGAGTATTTGAATAAGCTATTTGCCGTCATCAAAAGTAATCAATCCCTTGCAATCATTTTGCTTTTTTTAGAATGGATAATCACTTTCTTATACAATAGGGGTGACTTTTAAAAAATCTTTTATTAAAATATTTTAGCTTTTTCTTGGAGGAGATGAGGATAGAAAAGGACAGGTAGCTTTTTCACTGGCAATTTATTTTATTTTATTTTATTTATTTATTTTGTTTTGAGATGGAGTCTCACTCTGTCACCAGGCTGGAGTGCAGTGTTGCGATCTCGGCTCACTGCAACCTCTGCCTCCCAGGTTCAAGCGATCCTCCTGCCCCAGTCCCCTTGTAGCTGGGATCATAGGCACGTGGCACCATGCCCAGCTAATTTTTGTATTTTTAGTAGAGATGGGGTTTTGCCATGTTGGCCAGGCTGGTCTCAAACTCCTGACCTCAGGTGATCCACCTGCCTCGGCCTCCCAAAGTGCTGGGATTACAGGCGTGAGCCACCGTGCCTGGCCTCATTGGGAATTTTAGAAGAAGCACTACTGTATATAATTTGGTGTGTTCTAGAAAACATTGTTATAATTCTATTACTAGACCAACTCTTATTCAACTAGAAATGATGGAGAAAATTATTGTTTTAAAATATTCCCAAACATTATTAGTTCTTTGCTTAAATCCCATCTTTAAATAGGAATGGGTTTCACTTTCTCCTGTCTCTGATCATTCTTAGCACTAAGCAGGGCTAACAAGGATTTAAATGGCAGATGAAAGAAGGGAGGTCTGAAGAGGTAAACTGAGGCCTGGTCAGAGCAGCAGGGTTGGTTTGACAGAAAGGAGCCAGATTTGGGAAACTCCCAAGTGACGTCAATAAACGACAGTGACCAGGTGGGGTTGAGGGAAAGGAAGGGGCTAAGCAGTATTCTGAAGTTTCTAGATTGAAAGCCACTCTGAATAAATAACTTAGCTTTACTCAGGAAGATGGGAAAGAGGGAAAAGGAAAAAGGCAAGTGAGAAGCGAAAGGACAGAAGAAAGTTGTGTGGGAGGCTTGAGTGATGGAGCTGAGAGTGGGCGCTCTGACTTGGAGAGTCCCTAGTTCCACAACTGAAGGGTGCAATGTTTTGTCCAGTCAGCTCTGAGCCCATCCATCGAACTCCTCACTAATTCTCAGAGCTCCTTCTCTCCTCTCCATCCTCGGCATCCGTGGCCTTGGTTGGGGGCCTTCAGCTTCCCTTGCCTGACTTTCCAGCTACATCCTTCCCCTAACCGATCTCCTACCATTCAGTCTTACCTACTGCCAATCCTTTAAATTCTAATTCCAATTTCATACCATCACAGCATTGCTAAAAACTGATCAAGGCCCAACTGCTCCAGAATAAAACCCAAATTCCCAATCTCCAACCTCTGCCTCTTTTGGCTCTTCCTACTCCCAGCCATTCATTGTCAGTCCCAAGATACTGAAGTCCTCCAGGTTCTCTGAGCCGGGATGGTTCTTTTTCTCTCATTTCCAGTTCTTTTTGCAGGCTGCTGTCTGTCTACAACACCCCTTTCTTGTATGGCCAGCTCCTTCTGTGGGACTCAGTTGTTGACTTCCTCCAGGAATGGTCCCTGATCTTCTGGCCTCACTGTCGGGCAGACACTTTTCTGCTCTCTATCTCTTCACACCACTGGGAGACTATTTCATTGTCACCTGTTGATTGTCTATCTCCCTCCCGACAGCAGAAGCTCAGAAATAGCATAGATTATGTTTTCTTCATTTTTAAAAATTTTTGTAGAGACAGGGGTCTCACTATGTTGCTCAGGCTAGTCTTGAACTCCTGGGCTCAAGGGGTCCTCCCCGCTCAGCCTCCCAAAGCTCTGGGATTACAAGCATGAGCCACCGCATCGGGCCCTTCATTTTTGTTTCCCCAAGGCTAACACAATTCTGCCACTCTCCATAAAGATTTGTGAATTAAAGACAAAGGTGGCATTGTTTCCATTTCAAGGGGAAAAAGGCTCTTGCATGAGGGTGGAAAAGCTGCTTCTAGTTTACTACTTGTCCTTTTCCTTGTTAAGAAACAGCAATGAGGGGCAGGCAGGTGGCCCACCCCGTCTGCCCTTACATGGGAGAATAGCAGGCAGCTTTCACCTGAACGTGCCACAAAGGAGGGCTATGCGCAAGGGAGAGCCAGGTTTTAGGAAGCTGCTCACCCACCCCCATTTTAAAATTCTATCTTCCTTCAATTACCCAAATGTTTCTTGGAACTCTTAGTTATAATATAGTCAAGTATGGGTATATTTTACGGAGAGACCCTGAAAGGAAATCCATCAGAGACTGGAGAACTGTTCAGCAGGGGCACTTTGCAGCAGCACTGGGTATATTCAGCAGCATAAAATTTCCTACCATCCAGCCACCCAATAGGAATCTAGAGGAACTGAAAGAAAGGCAAACACCAAAAATATTAGTAAAAAATAATAAGAATTTGGAAAACCTGTATCTACCTTTCCCATGTATCTTGAAAACTGTTAGTAAAGATGTCTTTTTTTTTTTTGAGAGTGGGTCGCCCAGAATGGAGTGCAGTGGCGCAATAGTGGGTCACTGCAATCTCCAACTCTCCGGCTCAGTCAATCCTCCCACCTCAGCCTCCCAAGTAGCTGGGACTCCAGGCATGTGCCACTACGCTGGGCTGATTTTAAAATTTTTTGTAGAGATGGGGTTTTGCCAGGTTGCCCATGGCTGGTCTGGAATTCTTGGGCTCAAGCGATCCTCCCACTTCAGCCTCCCAAAGTGCTGGGATTACAGGCGTGAGTCACCGTGCTCTGCCTAGTAAAGATGTCTTTAAACATGGAAGCATTATAAATAACTAAAGCAACTTTAACTGCCGTTTTAAAGTTGAATGCTTAATTGCCACTGAAAAGAGCACAAGGAAGACTTTTTTCCAAGTTACTATCATCCTTTAACAGAAAAAAATTCTTTGTAAGGACTTGTAGCATATAGTAAGTGCTTGATACATGACTGACAAATGTTCTTGCTGAATATACATAAATAAAATATTGCTTTCAGTATTATATAGAGGGTATATATATGCTATAAACAACAGTAAGAATAAGTTTAGGACTACTAAATATTATTAAATATTAAATATAATCACTTAATCTATATTACATGTTGATAGTTCACACCACCCAGGTCATAGTTCATTTAATGGAATAGCATTTTTTTTTGAAAGTTAGTGAGAAAATAAGTTTATGCTTATTTTATCATCAATAACTTTCTTTATAAAATTGTAGGTATATTCTAACATATGATACAATTAGGGAAGTACAAATCATAGTAAAGAAGTAGACAAATTGGGAAAAGTCACATTTTTAATGAAAAACCTATTTGAAAAGCCATATCAATATTTATAACTCAATGTACAATACTGAGAGTTGAAATATTTTACCAAGAATTATATTCCCTTGGGCCCAGCTAAATCTACAGAAGCTGGAAAAGTGTCCTACTTCAAATTAAATTCATGATTTTATTTCTGCCTCAAGGCCAAAAAAAAAATCATTTTTAAGCCACAGGCTTTTAAACCACAGTCAAAGGACATGTATTGAATGCCATACATTGATGGCACTAGTTTTTTTAGCCTTAAAAATATTGTTACCCAAGAAAATATTCCTGGCTGACGCTAATTGATTTTTTTAAATGTGTAGGTACCAATATGAATTCAGGAAGCCCATTATAAATGACTCATGAGTAATAGGATATGGAACAAAATAAGACTCTCAGCTAGCATCCAAGGCAGACCAAAGTAAATACTCAACTACTTTCCCACCTTCTTAACTAACAGAGGAAATATGATTATTTCAATTTAGATAAGTTCACCAATGTACAGATGATATTTACCTTTTTTATTACAGCTTGATTCTGCAAAGAAGAAGGAACTACTATTGTTAGTCATCTACCAGTTAATTCCTTTTTTGAAGAACCCATAAATGAGTCTAATTGTTTATTAAAAAGGTAGGGAAAGGTACTCAAATATGCTTGGTTATAATTAGTTTGTTTTTTTTTTAACCTGCATTCTTGGTATTTTTGTGAAAACAATTGTTTTAAGTTTCCAATTACACTATATCATTTTCTCAAAGGGACAAAACAAAGTCATAAATATGGTAGCATATTTCAGAATAAAATCCAAATCATGAGGCCGGGTGCTATGGCTTGCACCTGTAATCCCAGCACTTTGGGAGGCTGAGGCAGGAGGATCCTTTGAGCCCAGGAGTTTGAGACCAGCCTGGGCAACATGGCAAGACCTCATCTCTACAAATAATAAAAAAATAAACTGGGCGTGGTGGTGCCCATTTGTGGTCCCAGCTGCTCAGGAGGCTGAGGTGGGAGGATTATTTGAGCCCAGGCATTTGAGAGCATGATGGTGCCACTGCACTCCAGCCTGGGTGATAAAGCAAGCCCCTGTCTAAATCAACCAACCAACCAATCAATCAATCCAAATTATGAGAGAACTGGAAATCATGAGTCATACAGAGGCTTGAGGTCAAATCTGCCTTTACCAGTATTCTTCCTGTTCTTCCTTTTGTCTCTCTAGAAGGAATTTTTACAGTTCTTCCATATTTACCCAAGACTATCATTTTCCTTGGTCTTAAAGATGAATTTCCTTTTGAGTTAAGGGAATATTAGAGTTGACCTCTTTAGTTTTTTATTTTTACTTTTTTTTTTAAGAGATGGGGTCTTGCTGCGTCGTGCAGTTTGGAGTGGAGTGGTGCAATCATAGCTCACCGTAACCTCAAACTCCTGGGCTCATGCAATCCTGTGTCTCAACCTCCCAAAGCACTGGGATTACAGGCATAAGTCACCATGCCCTGGAATTGACCTCTTTAATGTCCTCACTGCTTGATATGAACACTGCATATGATCTTGGTATTTTACCCATTGTTGCTGGACAGCAAGGACACATAGAGGATCTACATGCTCTCTTTGGTGTCAATGTTGAGAGTATCCAGAACCTTCTGGGGACTTTTCCAGGGATGGTAGTGGATACTGTATGTCTCAAGATGCCCACAGCTCCCAAAGGCATAAGGTCCCAAGATGTGATCTCCACATTCAGATATCCCCACACTGCCAGCTACACTTACTTCTCCTCCTAATCTTTCTTGATAATTCCTTAGCCACGTGTCTCAGAGCTTGCATGTTATGGTGAAGGAAGGGGCCTATGTAGAAAAATGTTGCGGTGTGGGTTTTAAACTATAAAAACGTTCATTAGGCATTTAAGCCTATAAAAACTTAATAGAATTATTCCTTTGAGCTGAAAAAAAGGCAACTGCATGGCCTCCCTGAGTGTTTTAAGTAGGTATCATGAGCCCAATAAAGCGTTCCACCATTTTGCCAGTCAGATGAGTTCCCAGCAACTCAGAATTTGTGGCTGCTGCAGAGGCAGCTCATGAGTGATGTCATTCACTCTGTGTACTAAATTAACTGATTGTTTACACTACTGAAAAATACCAGATAATCATTAAATCCATTTTCTTGTGGACATATAAACACTGAATACAAGAAGAATATCTCTTGTAATATCTAGTAATAGGCTAAAAATTGCCCAAGTCCTGGTGTTCAGAACTCTTTCTAAGAATCGATCCAACAAAAACAATCTTGGAGGCCGGGCACGGAGTCTCATGCCTGTAATCCCAGCACGTTGGGAGGCTGAGGCGGGCAGATCACCTGAGGTCAGGAGTTTGAGACCAGCCTGGACAACATGGTGAAACCCTGTCTCTACTAAAAATACAAAAAATCAGCCGGGTGTGGTGGCACACACCTGTAATCCCAGCTACTTAGGAGGCTGAGGCAGAAGAATCGCTTGAGCCCAGGGAGGCGGAGGTTGCAGTGAGACAAGATCGTGCCATTGCACTCCAGCCTGGGGCACACAGAAAGACTCCGTCTCAAAAAAAAAAAAAAAAAATTCTTGGAGGTAACAAAATATTTTCTTCCTTGTTGGGTTTTGTTTTGTTTGTTATTGCAAACAGTACATGTCATCAACAGTATTTATTATAATAGCAAAAAAAAGTTCAAAAAATAAAAAATTTGATTAAATACATTTATTTAAAATATTATGCAGTTACTTAAAGTGGTATCTTAGTAGAGTATTTAATGAAAAAAAAGTGTCGCACAATTTATTAATTTAAAAACTGCCAGGAAACACATCAGAGCCTGAGCCCATTAATTACATGAGACATTGCATGTGAGAGGCTTATATCATGCTGAGATGTTACTGTTGCTCATGCACATAAATGTTTATTATTGTAGATTATAAAAGGCTGGAAGGCATATACTGAAACAACAGTGGTGGTGTCTGAATGATAGGATTATGAATAATTTTATTTTCTTCTTTTTGGTTTGTGTATTCTAAATTTTCTACAATGAATATGTAAAACTAAAACACTAATGAAAATGACTACTCCTCAGGACTGTATTTTTATACAGGATGCCCAACTGAGATTCCTTTTTAAAAGTACTTGGAGCTGCTGAGCGTGGTGGCTCACACCTGTAATCCCAGCCCCTTGGGAGGCCGAGGCAGGCAGATCACCTGAGCCCAGGAGTTCGAGACCAGCCTGGCCAACATGGTGAAACCCGTCTCTACTAAAAATACAAAAATTAGCTAGGCATAGTGGTGCATGTCTGTAGTCCCAGCTACTCGGGAGGCTGAGGCACGATAATTGCTTGAACCCAGGTGGTGGAGGTTGCAGTGAGCCGAGATCATGCCACGGACTCCAGCCTGGGTGACAGAGCGAGACTCCATCCCCCCCACAAAA
Source organism: Homo sapiens (assembly GCF_000001405.40). Taxonomy (NCBI): domain Eukaryota; kingdom Metazoa; phylum Chordata; class Mammalia; order Primates; family Hominidae; genus Homo; species Homo sapiens. The sequence continues at coordinate 7,956,984 of NC_000006.12, forward strand.
AAAAAAAAGGACTTGGAGCTAATTTATATATATCAGTGTGTGTGTGTGTGTGTGTGTGTGTGTGTGTGTGTACTTGGATCTAATTTATATATATCTGTGTGTGTATACACACACACACACAGATATATATAAATTAGCTCCAAGTACTTTTTTTATACATACTGTTTTTACACATACTTTTACAGTGTGTGTACATATATACACACACAGATATATAATATATATAAATTATAATGTTTATTAGAAATAAAGTTTCAGAATAGATATTTACCATTTATCTTGCAAAGGCAAGATAAATAAGTTTGATATTTTTAATAAGAAGGAAAAAATAAAAAGCTTACTTGTAGAATGTGTGAGAATATTTGAATTTCATATGGCATCAGATTACTGTTTTCCTCTCAAAAAAGTCTGTATCTTCTGAACAAACTAAACCGCATATTAATCACATTACAAATTTTTTGAGGGCCGGAATTATTTCTTATTGGCTTTTGTATTCTAAGAACTTGGTCCCAAACAAATACTCTATATTGATCAAATGAATATGTTAACAAAGACTTAAATACGTTTTAGACAATCTAATTTTCCTACTACGTAACTATTAAAATACCCTCATCTACATTAAGAAACATTTATCTCTAGAAAAAAACTTGTAAGTTGGACAAACCAAGAGGATAGACTGTGTAATGGAATATTATTCAGCCTTAAAAAAGGAAAGAATCCTGTCATTTATAATAACGTGGATAAACTTGGAGGATGATATACCAAGTGAAATAAGCCAGACACAGAAAGACAAATATTGCAAGATATCACTTTTATGTGGAATCTAAAAAAAGTCAAACTTAAGAAAACAGAGAAAGGTCATTTCCAGGGGCTGGGGGAGGGCGGAGTAAATGGGGAGAGGTTGACGGAAGGGTATGAACTTCCAGTTAATGAGTAAGTCCTAGAGCTCTAGTGTGCAGCATGGTGACTACACTCAATAATACTGCACTGTGTACTTGAAATTCACTAAGAGACTGACCTAAAGTGTTCTCACCACACATACAGAGAATAACTATCTCAGGTGATGGGTATGTTAATTAGCTTGTTTGTGGCAATTATTACATAAGATATACTTACATCAAAACACCATGTTTTACACTTTAATTTTCTTTTCTTTTTTTTTTTTTTTTTTTTTGAGACGGAGTCTCACTCTGTTGCCCAGGCTGGAGTGCACTGGCACAAGCTCAGCTCACTGTAACCTCTGCCTCCTGGGTTCAAGCGATTCTCCAGCCTGGGCCTCCTGAGTAGCTGGGATTACAGGTGTGCACCACCATGCCCAGCTAATTTTTGTATTTTTAGTAAAGATGGGGTTTCACCATGTTGACCAGGCTGGTCTCGAACTCCTGACCTTGTGATCTGCCCGCCTCGGCCTCCCAAAGTGCTAGGATTACAGGCGTGAGCCACCCCATCTGGCCAATTTTCTATTTTTCAATCATATCTTAATAAGCCTGGGGGGGAAAGGATAGTATTTAGAAAGTGGCTTCTATGGGCTGTTTACCACTGTCTCCTTCTATGGAACCAAGAATATAATTGTATAATAGAAGTTTAAATGCTTTGGCTTTGGGTGAATTGGCCAAAGGTAATGCTTGTGACCACAGGTTAGAGTGTTTCCTCTAAACCACGAGAACTGACCTGAAAGGAAACAGACAGGGAATCCTTAGTCTGTAACCAACTGAACCAGCCAAGCAAGCTCACCAGTGCCTGTCAGCCTCAGTGGCTGAGAACTACTATGTGTCAGGTCATTGAGATAACCTGCAACTTGCCCACAATAGAAGGATGGGGCCACTTTTTACTCTCCTTTTTATTTTATTTTTTAAAGTTTTTTTTTTTTTTGAGATGGAGTTTCGCTCTGTCACCCAGGCTGGAGTGCAATGGTGCGATCTCAGCTCACTGCAACCTCCGCCCCCCAGGTTCAAGCGATTCTCCTGCCTCAGCCTCCCGAGTAGCCGGGATTACAGGCGTCGGCCACCATGCCCGGCTAATTTTTGTATTTTTAGTAGAGATGGGGTTTCGCCACATTGGCCAGGCTGGTCTCCAACTCCTGACCTTAGGTGATCCACCTGCCTCAGCCTCCCAAAGTGCTAGGATTACAGGCATAAGCCACCGTGCTCGGCCTCTGCTTTTTAAATGACAATGGTTTTGGGGACCGTATGTTCCTTGAGTGAAACATTCCTTATAAGCAGCCTACACCATTCACCGCCACGTAGTTGTGGATTTTAGCATCCTTCCATGTGCACAGGCTTCTCCTGCCTTCAGGAGTTCACATCTGAGTGGAATCTACCCCGGTAGGTCCCCGGAAAGGTTCAAAAGCTCCTCTCAGAGCAGGAAGTTATCAACTCCGTAATTTCCCAGGCTAATTTTACAGACTAGTCTTAGGAAGCGCTTGATGTTGACAGCGACCATGTGGCTTTCTTACTGAAAACCCAAGTGCCCAGTAAATAAGCTCAACTACAAAGTAAAGAAGAAACGTGGTGCTCAATTCCAATGATTCAAAAGTTTAACCATTGCTTTTAGGAGTTAATCACTCAATGACATATTTCCTTTCCTAAATAAACATTGACTTTTTGACATCTGGTGTTGGATCTCTTATGTATATGGGTATGGCTCAGTTCCTGGAGAGAGTAGAGATAGTGACACAGAATGGGCCATCAGGCCACACCTCAGTGTACTTGCCACTAGGACGTTAATAAGGGATGCACAGTAGTGTCACAGATTCCAGCCCTGCAAGTAGGGCCACGAGAGGAAAAGTGGTTGCTCTTTGTTTCATCGTCAATATTCAATATAAGAAAAATGAGCTGGGCATGGTGGCTTATGCCTGTAATCCCAGCACTTAGGGAGGCCGAGGTGGGTGGAGTTTGAGACCAGCCTGGCCAACATGGCGCAACTCTGTCTCCACTAAAAATACAAAAATTAGCTGGGCATGGTGGCAGATGCCTGTAATCCCAGCTACTCAGGAGACTGAGGCAGGAGAATCACCTGAGCCTGGGAGGCGGAGGATGCAGTGAGCCGAGATCGCACCACTGCACTCCAGCCTAAGTGACTGACAGAGACAGACATTGTCTCAAAAAAAAAAAAAAAAAAGATAAATGGTTCTTAAACATGAGAATGGCAGGGGAAGTTGGAAAGTTTTGTTGTAGTGAATACAGATTTGATTTGGTTACTCCACGAGAGTCATTTTAGCACCAAGTATATTAAATGATGACATGAAGAAGAGCTTCATATGCTGAAGAGACAACTGACAACCCGAACTTCCACAGGTTCTCACCTTCTGTGGCTTATTATAGCTCATTTTCCTTTCAGATCTTACAATCTCCCACTTTAGGAACTGAAATTCTTCGGAATTTCCTGTGATTATGTTTTCTAGTGTTACGGGAAGGAAAGTTATCTTTAGGGTTAGACAACATGTAAAGTTGAATACTGAATTCAACAGAGATCTTAAAATACAAGTCCAGGAATGAAAGGGATTAAGAATGTACACTGTGTATAGTTAATGTAGACTATAACTAGGTTCATAAAACAATTGTAAAAATTGTCTTTGAAGAGAAAGTTTATTAACTTCATTTTAATATTCACAATACAGATTTGAGACATTTTATGGGAGAAAAACCACAAAGTTCTAATCCTCCTTAAGAACTAGGATGTGTCTCTTCATTGCTCACAGGCTGCGAATTAAGCTTTCAATTCATTCAACAGTGAGTACCTACTATGTGCCAAAAAATGTTGCCAGCAGTGGGAATGTTCCAGAGAATGCCCTTGTTCCCATGGGGTTTACAACCTAGTGAGTGAGACAGTTAATGTACAATAAAGAAATAAGTACAAGATCTTTATACAAGATTATAAGATTAGGCAGTGCCGAATGTTAAAAGCAAAATAAAACAGGGCAGCATACATTTATCTAGTATAGTTGCTGCTTTGGCATCCATTTTGGGCCTGCGGTAAGTTATTGAAACCCAGTCGTACCCTATCACCTTTGGTCTAGTTAAAATGTTCCCTCCCTGTGTGGTTGTTTGTGAAACAGCCTGCTTGCTCTTCACCCCACAGCTGCTGACCACAGTAAAACCTAATGATCAACACCAGAGTGATGTAAGTTCCCCCTTTTGCACATTTTTAAATTTAACTAATTAATTAATTTGTTTGTTTGTTTTTTGAGATGGAGTCTGGCTCTGTCACCCAGGCTGGAATGCAGTGCTGCAATCTCGGCTCACTGCAACTTCCGCCTCCCAGGTTCAAGCAATTCATCTGCCTCAGCCTCCCAAGTAGCTGGGATTACAGGCGTGCACCACCACGCGCTACTATTTTTTTTTTTTTTTTTGGTATTTTTAGTAGAGACGGGGTTTCACTTTGTTAGCCAGGCTGATCTCGAACTCCTGACCCCAAGTGATCCACCAGCCTCGGTCTCACAAAGTGCTGGGATTAGAGGCATGAGTCGCCGTGCCCAACCACACGTTTTTTTAAATTAGCCAATCCACAACCCCCATGGGAAACCCTAAGGGATAAGGTCCACGGATCTTAATAAAGGCATAATCCCACAGGTCCTCTCTCTCTCTCGCTCTCCCCTCTCTCCCTTACTCCCCACTCCCTCTCCCTGGTTGAGCTCTCTGACACCCCTGGACTTTTCCTTAGCCTCCTGTTGGCAGCTCTGACCTTTCCGGGATCTGTAAGTTATACAGTTCTTCTGTTTCAGCCATTTTGGTTTCATTCCCTCATTTTGTCTCACTTGATGGACACAGGTGAACCTAGCTCCCCCACCCCACGCTGTTAGGGCTCTCCCAGAGAGTGGCTTCTTGGTTTTTGGCGTGTGTGTGTGTGTGTGTGTGTGTGTGTGTGTGTGTGCCGCAGTCTCGCTCTGTCACCCAGGCTGGAGTGCAGCGGCGCGATCTCGGCTCACTGCAGCCTCCGCCTCCCGGGTTCACGCCATTCTCCTGCCTCAGCCTCCCGAGTAGCTGGGACTACAGGCGCCCGCCACCACGCCCGGCTAAATTTTTGTGTTTTTGGTAGAGACGGGTTTTCACCGTGTTAGCCAGGATGGTCTGGATCTCTTGACCTCGTGATCCGCCCACCTCGGCCTCCCAAAGTGCTGGAATTACAGGTGTGAGCCACCGCGCCCGGCCAGGTTTTGGCCACTCTCAAAAGTGGAGACCTCAAAACCAAATTAGAAAGAACCACGGCGATGGAACTCACGACACAGGGTAACGGGATAAAGAGAGAAAGGGAGACACTTCAACATCCCTGTATTAGCCTTGACGGCTCAATTCATCAAAAAATACAGATTGAATATATAAGAAATACATATAAAAATGAAAAATATAATTAAAAGTACACATTATTTCATCATAACTTAAAAAATTAAAAGCTAATTAAAAATTTTTGGTTAAAAAGCTATTTAGAAAATGTTTAAAAACTCAATAAGTGGTTAAAGGAGAAAATTAACACTATAGTTACAATTATTTAGAAAAAATATGAGAAAATGTAAGTAAAATTATAGGAGACAAATTTTGCTCCTTGAGGCAAAGATTTTCACAGATTTCCCAAAAATAACATAAAAATCACTTACCATAAAAGAAAAATTTGATAAATTGGACTTCATCAAAATTAAAAACTTTTGCTCTTCAAAATAAACTGTTTTTTGGGGAGCTGAAGGAAATGTGCATTATCTTGATTGTGATGATGGCTTCAATGGTGTATACATGTCAAAACTCATCAAATTGTACACCTTAAACATATGTAATTTATTGTGGTCAACTATGTGTCAATAAAGTTGCAATGAAGAATTGGAAATAAAGAATTGGCAACTAAATACTTTTTTTTTTTTTTGAGACAGGGTCTCGCGCGGTCACCCAGGCTGGAGTGCAGTGATGCCATCATGGCTCACTGCAACCTCTGCCTCCCGGCTCAATTGATCCTCCCCTTCAAACTCCCCAATAGCTGGGACTACAGGTACTTGCCACCATGCCTGGCTAAATTTTGCTCAGTACAACTTTTTAAAACATGAACTAATTGTTGAGAAAATTAAAAGGCAAGCCATCAACCAGGAGAAAATATTTGTAATTAATGAGTCTGGCAAAGCACTTAAATTTAGAAAATATAAATAACTCTTACTATTCAACGATGGAACAAACAACACACAACCACACAGCCCATAAACTAAAGAGATCGGCACTACCCCCCGAAATGTACAAATGACCAAAAATAACATGAAAAGATGCTCACTATCTTTAGTCATCAGAGAAATGCAACTTAAAACCACAAAGAGATACCATTATACCGAACCGAGAACAGCTAAAAATAAAAAGACTACTAATAATCTCATTTATATACAGAATCTAAAACAAAAACCAACTCATAGAAACAGAGAGGAGAATGGTGGTTGGCAGGAGTTGTGGGTGGGGAAATGGGGAGATGTTGGTCAAAGGGTACAGAGTTTCACTTACAAAATGAGTAAGTTGGCCAGGTGCAGTGGCTCACACCTGCAATCCCAGCACTTTGGGAGGCCAAGGCAGGCAGATCACCTGAAACCAGGAGTTCAAGATCAGCCTGACCAACATGGTGAAACCCCATCTCTACTAAAAATACAAAAATTAGCTGGGTATAGTGGTGCACGCCTGTAATCCCAGCTACGTGGGAGGCTGAGGCAGAGAATCGCTTGAACCCAGGAGGCGAAGGTTGCAGTGAGCCAAGATCACAAGATCACGTCACTGCACTCCAGTGACTCTATCCCAAAAAAACAAAGCAAGTTCTAGAGACCTAATGTACAGCACAGTAACTGTAGTTAATAATAATGCATTATATGCCCGTAATTTGCTAAGAGAGGAGGTCTTAAGTATTCTCACTGCACGAGCACGCACGCACACACACACCCCCAAAAAGGTAACTATCTGAGGTGATGAATATGTTAATTAGCTTGTGATAATCATTTCACAATGTATACATGTATCAAAAATCATGTTGTACAACTTGAATTATATAATTTTTTATAAATTATACCTCAATAAAGTTAAAAAAACAAGGTTCAAGTTATAAAACATAGATATGTATAAGGATGTGAATATGTATATAAGCAATCAATATAGGAAAAATACATATACACAAATATATGCACATATACATTTCCTATTGAAAAGATGATGGCACCACATCCCTCTGTCTTGTCAAGGCAGTGCTTAGTTAAGAACACACCCCATCTACCACCAGGCAATTCAGTAAAAACAATGAGTGCTTTGTTTTTATGATGAGAAGGTAATGTATATAGTCTGCCACAATAATTTTCTGCTGTCTGCTTTTTTCATACTTAACAACTACTCTGATAACTCTTTCTAGAACATTCTCAGAATTAGCTCTAACCAAGCTCTAGCCCAAATGCCACTTTTACCTCTCAAATAAACTGCTTTTCCTACAGCCTGGACATCAAAAAAGTCCAAATAAGTGACCAAGAAATGGAAGAACACTTTTGAGTGACTGAGGAAGGGAAGAAATTAAATGAGCCAAGTCAGAACTCTCTGTAGGGTGAAGGTGAATGGGAAGCGTTGGGAAAAATCATTAGCACTTTTATGAAATGTATACATTTAAGATTATTTGTTGTTTTTGCCAGACTCCTTCCAGGCAAAGCATACATTTATAAATGTTTAAGTGTATTTTTTTTAAGTTCATTGCAGCTATAGAAATTGTTCCATAATGTGGAAGCCCCTGCCAAGTTTCCAGCTCTCAATTTCCCGAGATGTATAATTATATTATTATTATTATTATTATTTTTTGAGTTGGAGTCTCACTCTGTTGCCCAGGCTGGAGTGCAGTGGCGCGATCTCGGCCTACTGCAAGCTCTGCCTCCCAGGTTCACACTATTCTCCTGCCTCAGCCTTCCGAGTAGCTGGGACTACAGGCGTGTGCCACCACACCTGGCTAATTTTTTTGTATTTTTAGTAGAGACGGGGTTTCACCGTTTTGGCCGGGATGGTCTCGATCTCCTGACCTTGTGATCCACCCACCTCGGCCTCCCAAAGTGCTGGGATTACAGGTGTGAGCCACCGCACCCGGCCAGAATTATATTATTATATTATTTCGATTAAATGATTTGACTCTGTTTCTTCTGTATTAATGTTGATGTATCTTTCAGTGCATACTTGATACTTAAAAAAAAGAAAGACTACCAATACCAAGTGTTGGCAAGGATGTGGAGCAACTGAAACTCTCCTGTACCACTGGTGGGGATATAAAATAAAACATCCATTTTGGAAACGTTTGGCAGTTTCTTACAAAGTTAAGGATGCACTTAACATATCATTTAGCAAATCTGCCCCCAGGATTTTGCAAAAAAGAGATGAAAACACATCCACAAAAGACTTGTCTATGAATATTCACAGCAGCTTAATTCAAAATAGCCAAAAGGTGGGAAACAACTCAAACATCTATCAGTGAGTGAATGAATACACAAGTTGTGGTATGTTCATACAGTAATAAGATGCTACTCAGCAATAACAATAAAAGAACTGTTGATATACAGAACAACATAGATGAATCTCAAAAACAGGCTGAGTGAAAGAGGTCAGATACAAAGATTCCACTTACGTATGCATGATTCTACTTCTAGCAGCTTTCTGGATGGATGGAAATGTTCTGTACCTCGACTAGGGTGCTGGTACGTGGATTTATACATTTGTCAATACTCATCAAACTCTTAAGTGTACACATCTTATTGTACATAAATTATACCTCAATAAAGTTTATTTAAAAACACAAAAAGCAGCCATTCTGTTGCAGCTCATTGTGTAGGAAAGACATGTACACAATTTTGATGTGCTTATATTAATTACAGTGCAAACCGTGTTAAGAGCGCAAGCATGAAGAATATAAGTACACACCTTCATATAGCCACATCCACAGATTTTCACTTGATATATTGACTTTAAAAACATTTTGAGTCTTTGCTTAAAATTTTTCAGATACTCAAAATGGATAAAACTGGAAGACAGGTTAGGTTTTGGTTATTTTAACTATTAGTAAATCCACAAATAATTTATATTAGGCACCTGCTATGGTCTGAACATTTGTGTGCCCCCAAAATTCCTGTGTTGAAGCCTAATCCCCAGTGTGATGGCATTAAGAGGTGATTAGGTCATGAGGGGGATTAGTGCCCTCATGAATGAGACTAGGGCCCTTACAGAAGAGGGGGCTTGTTTGCCCTTGTATCGTATGAGGGCACAGCAAAAAGCCACCATCTGCAAACACTACTCTCACCAGACACTCAATCTGCTAGTCCCTTGACCTTGGACTTCCAGCCTCCAGAACTGTGAGAAATAAATTTGTGTTGTTTATAAGCCACCCAGTTTATGGCATTTTGTTGTAGCACCCAAACTTACTAAGATTAACACCATAATAAAAACCAAAAACGTGGCTGCAGGATGTCACGGTGGCTGGGAAGGTGGATTCTAATACTGGGTCCACCATACTGGCTGCACGGCCTTGGGCCAGCTATGAAATCATTCTGAGCTGTAGCTTCCTACTTTGTAAGTTTGTGAGGGCTAAATTAAATGAGAAAACCTATGTAATGCTTTTAAAACAGTGGCTGTTGGCCAGGTGTGGTGGCTCACACCTGTAATCCCAGCACTTTGGGAGGCCGAGGTGGGTGGATCATTTGAGATCAGGAGTTCGACACTAGCCTGGCCAACATGGTGAGACCCCGCCTCTACTGAAAATACAAAAATTAGCCAGGCTTGGTGGTGGGCACCTGTAATCCCAGCTACTCAGGAGGCTGGGGCAGGAGAATCTCTTGAAACTGGGAGGTGGAGGTTGCAGTGAGCCAAGATCATGCCACTGCACTCCAGCCTGGGTGACAGAGCGAGACTCTGTCCAACCCCCCGCCACCAGAAAAACAGTGGCTGTTATTAAATAAGCCCTCAACATAAATATGTAATGCTATTACTGTTGTCTCGGGACATTTGGATGAGTTCTGTCTGGGAAGGCAGATACTCCTAGTACAGTCCTATGCCTGCCCTTCCTGAGTTTGCAAGTACAGAGAAAAATACACAGGAATTACCACCCCCCATCAAATATATATATTCAGATCCACACACGCACCATCAATGTCTTTAGGAATACATAACAGGAGTACCATACAGCTAAACTTCTCAGGTGGGAGTATCACCTAGTGGATACCATCCCAGTATTCCCATCAGAGGAAAAGGGGCCAAAAGGGATCAGGATTGAAGGGAAGAGGGAGGTTGAAAGCAAATGAGAGGGCACTGAAAGAAGAGGGTTGGAGCATCACAATTTGAGAGACAGAGACAAATTAGAATTCAGAAGGAGGACAAGCAGGTTGGTGAGGGAATTTGAAAAAACTTGATATAAAAATCTTCACTGAAATCAGTGTGTTCCATCTAGGGATATGACACATGAAAGATTCTGTAGCCTCTCTACTCGCTATGCCTCCCATCAGGCGCACAAATATTTCCAGTGCATAGAGAGAAATTTCAGCCCAATAAAAGAAAGAACTCTCTAATAGCCAGAAGTGTCCAACATTGGAACCAGGAGCCCCAGGAGTGAATGAACCTGCAACACTGGTGGGGGGCTCTACCCGGAGCCTTAAGTCCCTGTTGATAGAGCAGTCTTGGGAATTGCTGGCTTGTTTATTTCTACTTCTTGCACTGATACTATTCTCTTGAGTGTAATACGTTTTCTACAGGCAACTTTTCATTATCTACGAGCAGGCTATTCCTGATGAGTGGTTAATGAAGTCTTTATAGAGCAGGCGATACCCTAGTAGTATAGCTAGGGTAGTGTTCTGGCTTGGGAGGCAATTCCTGTTGACTTTCTAACTTCCTGTGTGAATTCATCGGGGTATAGCTATCAGTTTGGCAGGAGCTTGAAGGAGAAACACCTGAAAGGAATCCCAGCTTATCCTTAGGATACGCCCCTGGGAATGCTCTGTATATTTCTATTTCTCTCCACTTCCATTTTTCAGTGTAACAAGTGAGATGGGGAAGATGGGAGAGACAGTCTTGCCAGGCCATACGAAGTGATGGCCCGGTATGGCATGGGGAGTGGTGAGCACAAGGTGAGTGGAAGGAACAGAACAGGAAGTGAGAATGAAATTTTGGAACTTCTAGACAAAAACATTTGCATACAAGTATTTTATAATCTATTAAATTAAGTTGGATTAAACACATTATTCTGATGTATCAATGCAGATGACTAGAAATGGACGTACGTGTATTTCAGATGAGTTACTATTAAGGACTACGACAAAAGTGTATCTTTAAGCCACAGTTGAGACTTAAAAAAAATCTGTTTATAAAATATTCTGAGCAAGGTGCCTTTGGTGCTGAACATACTCATATTTGGTGTCAGCCCGAAAGTGATTATTTTCCCCTTGCATGACTTAATAGTAAGGCATTCAGTCACCTAGAGGCTGCTTATAAAAAAGCAGCAAATGCCTGCGGAGCGCTCCTGGCCCCCCAGCATTCTTCCCAGGTCACTGTCACTGCGGTGCTGGTGTGCTCCCCACCAAGATGCCCGAAAGCAGAAGGCCTCACGGAGGGCAGCCAGGCTGCCTGTGACCTGTGTGCCATAAAAAGAGACTCACTCACCACCCTACATAAACAGAGGGAGGTTTAGTTAGGAAGCGAGAGAGAAGGGGAGGGAGAGGGAAAGGGAGGCAGTGAGAGGCTGAGCTGTGGAATGTAAAGGAGCAGCATCAAAAAGGCTCAGTCCTGAGCTATCACTTCAGCAGGAAACTCGTATGGCCCCCAGAAGCTCTTCTGGGGACACTCAGGGGACCAGTGTCCCCAAAAGAGCTTCTGGGGGCCATATAAGGGGAGGATGTAGTAACTTGATCATGTGGTCTTATCACACTGGCCCCCAGAAAGGATGTCAGGGCTCTCAGGGCAGAAGGCTTTCCTGATGTGAATAGCAAACTCAAGCTGGACAAATTTTGGCCCAATTTCTCTGATTTCAGAACTTGACTTAAGATCTAATGCTGCCTCCTCAGAGAGGCCTTTTCTTTCCGATCTAAGCTACACACCGCCTCCCATCATTCTCTATCACCTTAGCCTAACATTGTTTTTATAGCCTTTATCACAATCTAAAGTTATCTTGTATATCTGTTTACTTATCTGTTGCCTCAGCCTCTAGGCTGGGATTTTGCAGAGGATGGGTGCCATGTTTTGTTAAACACTGCTCTGTCCTGATGCTAGAACAGTACCTGGCCTGGAAGAGGCACTCGAGACTGGATAAATGAATAAACAAAGGCTCAAATGAGTGAATGGATGCACTAAAGAAGTAGGCCAGGAAATGTTGCTTTGAGGGATGTATGGAATAGATGAACAAAGAAAAAAAAGAAAGAAAAGAAAAGGAAAAAAGAGATCAGCTTGTTTGTAACCTGCAACCACCTACTGCCTGCCAAGTCTTCCTGCCACTCCCATGCTACCCAGCCACCCTCCAGGTTTAAATGCAAAAACCTGCTTTGCAAGATATCTAGTGGCAGTTTGTTGAGGACCCAGGGAGCAGTTCCCTCAAACACTACTACTGGTGATCTTAGATTCAGGAGGGCTGAGGATGACTAAATTTGTATTTGCAATTCAACCATAATCTAGCCCAGAAATTCTTGACATACTGGAATCTCTGGGAGAAAGGACAAGTAAAGAAGTATATAGAGCTTAACATGACCCAGATTCTAACTGCTTTGTTTGCTTTGGGACTTTTAACACTTTTTAAGCAGAAGTATGTTCAAAAAGGTTAGAAAGTAATCTAAATAATGCAGTCAGCAGTCAGACAAGATTTATAGAAAATCTTAATAAGAAGAGAGAGTCAAGGGTTAATCTAAAACTTGGAGCTCTAATGTCCAGGAGGGCAGTGGTTTTTATTGATCATGGGGAACTGGGGAAGCTAATTTGGGACATGACACTAAGCATAACTTGAAATTTGCTGAAGTTCAGATGATAGCAAGATATGCTGCAAGATTGCAGTAGCCTGTAAGTAAGCCAGTAGAAAGGTAAGAGTTAGAGCCACTAATAAGAACCTTATACAAAATCTGTATAATGTGGTATAATGGAGACCATAGATCTAGTTTTCATTCCCTGTTCCTGGGGCAGAACTTCAAAAGCCCTTGGAACTTCCTGAATGACAGGAATTATTATGCTAATGAGGTGATCCATGGTGGCCCCTAGGTAGCTTCAAGATGGGGGCTGGTCACCAGAAAGACCAACTGTGTGATTACAGTGTTGGAATTCTTAGCCAGTCCAACCTCCAGGGAGAGGAGGGGACAGGTAGAGACTGAGTTCAATCTTGTGGCCAGTGATTTAATCAATCATGTCTATATGATAAGGCCCCAGTAAAATCTCTGGACACCGAGGCTCAGTAGAGCTTCCTGGTTGGTGAACAACTCAGTGATATCCTGGGAGGGTGATGTGCTCAGATTCCATGGAGGAGGGCATGGACACTCTCCATCTGGGACCTTCCCAGACCTTACTCTATAAGTCTCTTCCATTTGGCTGATCTTGAGTTGTATCCTTTATAATGAGACTGTAATCATAAGTATAGTGGTCTCCTGAGCTCCCACTCTTACCATGTGAGATGCCTGCTCCCCCTTCACCTTCCACCATCACTGTAAGCTTCCTGAAGTTTCCCCAGAAGCTGAGCAGATGCCCGGTGCCACGCTTCCTGTACGGCCTGCACAACCATAAGCCAATACACTTCTTTTCTTTATAAAATTACCCAGGATCAGTTATTTCTTCATAGCAATGCAAGAATGGCCTAATGCAAAGAGCCTGTACACATTGCTTGTATATGCACATATGCATTACACAATAGTTGCCAGGATATATAGGGAATTTCAGAGGCCTACCTTCAAGTGGGAACATTATTGAATTTTATATTTTATTTCTTACCATTCTGAGTCATTAACTGTCAGTAATTAAGGAATTCTAAATGTTATAATGGATAATAATTTTGCTTACACCTTATTCAAGAAATGTAGAGTAGGATGATCACTCTTGTATGTGACATTAAGTATATGTATCACAGCCACTTAATCAAAACTAAAAAAAATCTAATCTTTAAACTTTAATATGTGAAATTACAGGCTCTGAGGAAATCTAGAAAAATTACATCTCTGTTTAATTCTTGAAACTCTTTATTCCTTTAATTTTAAGATGTCACTAATTTTAAGATGATGACAGACTTTGGGGGAGCTGGGGAGAAAAGGAACACCTGCTCATGAAATACAGATGCTCCTCGACTTACAATGGGGTTACATCCCAATAAACCCATAGTAAGTTGAAAATACCAGATGTTGAAAATGCATTTAATACACCTAACCTACCAAACATCATAGCTTGGCGTAGCCTACCTTAAGCATGTCCAAATACTTACCTTATCCTACAGTTGGGCAAAAATCTTCTGGCAATGCAATACACTGTTGAGTATTAGTTGTTTAGCCTTGTGATTGCATGGCTGATTGGTAGCTGTAGCTCACTGGTGCTGCCCAGCATCCAGAGAGATTACCGTACTGAATACTCTACAGAATATGGTATTGCTAGTCCAGGGAAAGAGCAAACTTCAAAATTTGAAGTACAGTTTCCACTGAATGCATATCACTTTCACACCACTGTAAAATTGAAAAATCATTAAATTGAACCATCATAAGTCAGGGATATTTATACAGTGAAGTATAAATATCCACTGTAAGATATTATTCCGCTTCAGCAAAGGGAGCATGTAAAAAAATTGAGTGCACCTTATATTTCAGAAAATACAGTAATATGGTAGGAATTCAGATTGTCTTTACTTCTTTTTAACTTTCAGATGATTTGCCTTAAATGTGTTGAATGTAATCACTTTTACCTTACACAATTTTCTTTTCCAAAAATATGATGGTCTGAAAGCAGAACTGTATTTATAATAAAATGTCCAGATTGGGGGTAAAGTGGCTGAGATAAGACAAGGGCCAATTTCATTCTACAATAAGCAGTCTGAAAAATTTTTAAAAATACTTAATTTTCTATATTAACTGAATTTTGGAAGGCAGTTTTTCACTAACCACATCTTAATACATTATAGACTAACAGAAACCAGCTTTTTCTCATATATACATGTAAAGTGCAGGCCTTCTATGGAGCAAGGAGACTTTATTCTCCCATTGGGCACCATTTTACTGTGTGGAGAAAATCACTGAGAAAAAGACACCGTCATCAAGCCTATACAGTATCAGCTTAATGGACATGAAAATACGGGGAAACAGGAATAATGTCAAAGGATGTAAATACTCAGAGTGATTCACATACAGAAGCGGGTGGCAAAGAACAGAAACACCGAGGCCTCTCAGGGCAGCAGCTCATGGAACGGCCCCTGATCCCGATGCAGCAAGGGATGGATGGTGGGTCGCTTTGCCAGCAGCCACCTGCAACCCTAGGGCTTCTAGACAATGGCATCACGTCCCATCTGTACCCTAGATGGCTGGCCCAAAGGACGCAGTATCCACAAAATTCATGATTATATTTTTATGGCTCTGTGAATGAAAATTCCCTCATAACAAGTAAGTCAATCTTCTCTCTTTCTGATCTTGAACTTTCTTTGGGTTATCTATGTGAATTTAGCAAACCACCCAGTGCAAGAAACGGCGCTATTGAGTTCAGATGGTGAATCACAGCCTTGCTTAGACCAAGAGACTAAGAACGCTACAAGCAAAGTGTGCGGTCCTTACCCAAGCCTAAGCAATCTAGCTAAGCTTCGCCTTAACTTGCTAGAAACATGCTGAAAATAGGTTGTATGATCGGGCTTTGATCGAAGTAAGACTTCCACTCTGATGAGGTCCCTCTCTTCAGGAGGTTTAAGTCACCAACATTTAAAAACAAACCTATCCACGTATTATGAAAAAAGGGTGTTGTAAAATCTGAAGTGAAGAACATTCTGCCTTTCAGTAGATGACCTAATTAATACAATACCATGATAGATGCCTGATAAATACTTCTGGAGATGATGCTGATTATTTTATAATGCTGTCCAAAAGTGAGTAGGTGTTAGGTCAAGGGAAAAAATATATAGCCGTCCCTTGGTGTCGGTGGGGGATTGGTTCCAGGACCTCCAGTGGATACCAAAATCTGTGGATGTTCAAATCCCTTAGAGAAAATGGCACCATATTTGCATAAAATCTATGCACATCCTCCTGATATCCATTAAAAATCTCTAGATTACTTTTAATACTTAATACAATCTAAATGCTACGCAAATAGTTGTTATGCTGCATTGATTCTTATATGTGTTATTATTTGTTGTTGTATTGTTATTTTTAATTGTTTTTTTCTGAAATTTTTTTTCTTCTCCAGACAGAGTCTTGCTCTGTCGCCCAGGCTGGAATGCAATGGCGCAATCTCAGCTTACTGCAACCTCCACCTCCCAGGTTCAAGAAATTCTCCTGCCTCAGCCTCCCAAGTAGCTGGGATTACAGGCACGCATCACCATGCCAGGCTAATTTTTGTATTTTTAGTAGAGACAAGGTTTCACCGTGTAGGCCAGGTTGGTCTTGAACTCCTGACCTCGTGATTCGCTCACCTCGGCCTCCCAAAGTGCTGGGATTACAGGCATGAGCCACTGCGCCTGGCCTTTTCTGAATATTTTTGATCCACAGTTGGTTGAATCTGCAGGTGGGAAGCCTAAGGGTAGGGAGGGCCGACAGTACTGTATTTATAAATGGTGTAATTAAGTTACTTAGTACTGACATGGGAGCTTTCATGTTGAATTGTAAGTCATTATGTAAATATTAACTATGTATCAAAATTCTTATAACAAAGCAGGCTATGGCATTTGCTTTGAGTCACTGTTGAAGAACAAGCTCTGTGACTTTGGAAAATGATGAAACAGAACTCATCTTCCTTACTCCCCACTGTCCTTGAGTTAATAATGGTTAATAACACTGACATTGCCATTCAGGACTTACATTGTACTTCAGCAGTTAAGTGATTTATAGTACAATACTGAGCTTGTAATGAAAACAATCACTATTTTAGTTATTATAAAAAATGTCTATGAGACCATGAAAGGCATTTTTATCACAAGTTTACAACAGAATCTTTCAAAGGTGATGGCTACCTGTGCATCTAATGACTTGGGCTAAAGAAGCCTGCAAAGCAGTGTAGCCATCTCTACATCTAAATGGTGCAGGGCAGGTGAGCCCCAAAGTGGGACTTAGCCCACGAGGGTTCTTGGCTTTGCCCAGGAAAGAATTCAAGGGCATGCTGGAGGTAGACAAAAACAGCTTAACTGAAGCAGCAGTGTTATACCTCCATGACTGCTCCTGCAGATCTGGGCAACCCCATAAGCAGAGAGGAGCAGCTCAGGGCAGCTTTGCAGTCGTATTTATACCCACTTTTAATTATATACAGACTAAGGGATGGTTTATGCAGAAATTTCTAGGAAAGGGTTAGTAACTTTTGGGTCATCGGATCATTGCCATGGAAAGGAGCGATAACGCCCGGGTGTTGACATGGCAATGGTAAACTGACATGGCACACTGGTGGGCACGCCTTATGGAAAGCTGCTTCCACCCTGGTCCTGTTGTAGCTAGTCCTTAATTTGGTCCAGTGTCTGAGCCCCGTCTCCAGAGTTGAGTCCCACCTCCTACCTCATAAAGGCAAGGTTAGTGAGTGGAACAGTTAACACTAGTTTCAGAGGCTCTTTAGGCAGCTCAGAACAAGCAGGTCCAGTCCTAGGCTATTCTCAGTTGCCTCTCTAGGTTATCAACGCCATCCTTTGAGAGTCAAGGATGTGTCAACCATCGAGAGAATGACTTATGTGACAATCAAACCCTCATCCTGTCAGATAATCATGCATTTTTTTTTTCCAAGGGCAATGGAAAGTGAGCAAACTCTTCAAGATGAGTTGATTGCATTAGTCTTTTTAAAAAAGTTAAGTACTCTTAAGACGACGGCAAGGAGTGGGGGGAAAAGTTAAGTACTCTTTACGTGACCCAGGAGTAAACGAGATCCTTTTGGCAAACCTCAGAATGTTGGATGGTGTTGACGGCATGGACTGGGCAACCGGGAAACCATGTGCTAACTGGCTGCTTCATCCCTTTTTCCTTTTCTGCGTCTGCCAGGTGGGGCCCTGAGTTCGGAGCACGTCTGGCTCTCTGCGGCATCCTGCCTGTTATCTCTGTCTGGCAAACAACCACTCCGTGCTCCCAGAACTTCGGAGCCTTCCAGGGCACTGGGGATGAGTCATTCTCAGCTCACTGTGCCAAAGGTCTTTTTGGCCGAGGGACTGAGGAAGACCATTGTTGTGGCTGGCTGTTATCTCTCGAGCCGACTCCACTTGGCAGAGGCACAAGTCCATCTCTCTGGTGTGGAACAAGGCGCTGGGCTCTAGATGAGTCAACACGCTAATAAACAAGAGGCATGGAGGAAATAGCAGCCAGTCTTGAAAACAAAAAAAAAGAAACATTTTGAAGTGTACTGGATGCCGAGATGTTTGTCCTCCATGGTGCAATCCTGCTTTATCTCACTCCACAGCCTTCCTATCAAAGAAATGGGGAAGTTAATAGTTTATCAAATGTGAATCGGCTGTAGTGTTTATGCATAACTTACATAGCACGGAAAGTATTTTTTGGTGCTGGGGGTACTGTTTTCTTTCATTGCAAATTTATATCTTTGTCATTCATCTCCCTTTTTGTCAGACTACATATTTTAGGAAGTCTTCTGTCTACCAAGAGGTTTATTGTCTCCTGAACTTATCCCCATGCCATCAGGGAAACCACCCCGACGGTGGCTCGGCAGTTCCCGGAGTGAGATAAAAAACAGCAAGCTTTCCCCTAATGTAGACAGAGAAGCAGGATGGAAACCCTGCTCTGGGGAAGGTCCTGTCTCTGAAGCAGAAGACCAGGGCAGAGGGAGAGCATGCTGTACCACACATGTGTTCCCTGCAAGCACAGCGTGGTGCTGTCAAGTAAACACTGGCCACAGCAACCAAGCAGCAGCAAAGCCCTGCCTCTCAGCACCTGCGTGGGTCACTGTGATGGCTCACACCAGGTGCACCAACACCTCACTCTGGTGATTTAGCAGGAACCCACAGATTCCACATGAGGCGGGAGCTCAACTGTTGAAAACACAGTGTGTCGCCATTAGGATTCTTGGGGAAATGCAGGTGGAGGAAGCCAACTCTAGTCCCAGGGCAACTTTTGCTTCCAGAGATCCCAAATGCACAAGAGTGTTCCCTAAGCTTGCTCTGGATGGAACGCAAGGGACACAGGACTTCCTAGGGTGACTCACAGACACCTTGTAATAATCCTGTGTTGACAGTCATAAGAAGGTGACCGTACCTCTGTTTCCTCCAGAAAATCCTGGTTTTGTCCTACTGTATGTATTAGTGACACCCACTTTCATGCTCAAAAGGTGTTTTCATGTGGATGACAAATGCTCCTCTTGTCAGTCCACTCCCTCATGGAACTAACGATCAGCTTCACTGATGCCACAGCTGCACTATTAGGGCCACTTTCCACCTGCACTTTGTTTCAGCAAATGCCTGTTAAGCACCCGTGGGGCATCCCTTTGCCTCCCACTGTGCTTGGCAAACAGGACAACATGAATAGATGGTCCTCACCACAAGCCTTAGTCTAGTCAGAGAGACAGACACCTCAATAGATGACTACACAGCCCTGTGTTAAATGTGACAGCAGAGGCACGCACAAAATAGGACCGCAGTGTCTCCCCTCAACGTCAGTTTACCATCCGCTCACTTGGAGAGTTATCTAGGGGATGTCCCAGCTTGCAAGTGGGGACAGCAGTGCTGGCATCAGCAGTGTGAGCAGACAGAAACTCAGAAAGCCATGGAGTAGGCGTGTTTCTTGCTGTGCTTTGGGAAGCGTCATCAGCATCTGGAGAGCAGAGTGTAAACGGGGACACAGAAGTGCTCACTTTTTCCCCTAAAGATATGCACAATTTTGTAATTTAAATATTTACTTCTGTTAGTGCTTAGCTACTACAGAATGCAAAATAAATCCACTCTAAAGAAGCTAAGATCCAGGTGTCTTAGTCAATTTAAGCTGCTATGACAGGAAACTATGATTTGGGTGGCTTATAGAATACAGAAATTTATTGCTTACAGTTCTGGAGGCTGGGAAGTCCAAGATCAAGGCCCTGGCAGATTTGGTATCTGGTGAGGGCTGCTTTGTGGTTTACAGATGGCACCTTCTCACTGTGTCCTCATGTGGTGGAAGGGGGAAGGCAGCTCTCTTTTATAAGGGCATTAATCCCATTCATGAGGTCTCCACCCTTGTAATCTAATTATCTTCCAAAGGCCCTACCTCCTCATACTGTCACCTTGGGGCTTAGGGTTTTTCTTTCCTTTTCTTTTTTTTTTTTTTTTTTGAGATAGAGTCTCATTCTGTTGGCCAGGCTGGAGTGCAGTGGTGCGAACTCAGGTCACTGCAACCTCTGCCTCCTGTGTTTAAGCGATTCTCCTGTCTCAGCCTCCCAAGTAGCTAGGTCTACAGCCATGCGCCACCATGCCTGGCTAATTTTTGTATTTTCAGTAGAGACAGGGTTTCACCATGTTGGGCAGGCTAGTCTCGAACTCCTGACCTCAGGTGATCCACCCATGTTGGCCTCCCAAAGTGCTGGGATTACAGGTGTGAGCCACCTCTCCTGGCCAGGGGCTTAGGATTTCAACTTGTGAATGCAACATGTGACCAAGAGACTAATGACAAAACTGCTACAATCAAAGCATGCAGTCCTTACCCAAGCCTAAAGAATCTAGCTAAACCTTACCCTAGCCAGCCAAAAACTCGCTGAAAGTATGTGTATGACAGTCAGTGAACATGACTTTGATCGAGGTAAGACTCACACTCTGATGAGGTCCCTCTCTTCAGGGGATTTAAATTACCAACATGTCAAAACAAACCTATCCACATATTGCAGAAAAAGGGATGCAAATATTCAGACCATAGCACTAGGCATGGAGTTTAGGATTAGAAAGGAAAACTTCTGCTGATTCTATTTTTACCCATGTCCACTGGAGGCAGACCCTCCTCTCAGCAGTCTTTAGCACTGATGCAAAATTTGTAAAGTATTGAGTTTTCTCATTATCTTTTGAGTGGCTGCGTGGACATGCCTGCATTTTTAAGCTTTGTTCATTTCATGCACTTTCTACGTAGAACATCTGATATGGTTTGGCTCCATGTCCCCACTCAAATCTCATGTTGAAATGTAATCCCCAATGCTGGAGGTAGGGCCTGGCAGGAGGTGATTGGATCATGGGGGTGGTTTCTCATGGTTTAACACCACAGGGCCCTTAGTGCTTTTGTTGCAATAGTGAGTGCTCATGAGATCTGGTTGTTTAAAAGTGTGTGGCACCTCCCCCTTCTCTCTCTTGCTCCTGTTCTGGCCATGTAAGACATGCCTGCTCCCGCTTTGCCTTCTGCCATAATCGTAAGTTTCCTGAGGCTTCCCCAGAAGCTGAGTGGATGCCAGCATCATGCTCTGTGCAACTGTGGGCCAATTAAGCCTCTTTTCTTGATCAATTACCCAGTCTCAGGTATTTCTTTACAGCAATGCGAGAACAGACTAATACAACATCCCTCTCCCTCTTTTTCACTTGTTGAAAGGTGCCAATCCAAAGAACAAACAGAGAGGGAGACTCTCTAAAAGACAATTACGTTTATTTGGGAATAGGGCGTTGTAATGGGAATATGCACGCCATAGTCAAGTGTGTGCGAATTCAGGGAGATTAATTTAAAAGGCTTTTAAAGGAAAATGAGGATTACATAATTGTTTTGAGATAATTATCCATGGCTACAAGGATTAATAGCAAGGATAGTGCCAGTCTGAGGCTAGACAGGCAGTTGCTAGGCAGACGTCTTCACAGAAGTGTTTTTGTGTGTGTTAGGGTTGCAAGGGCCTTTGTACAAGGTTGTGGTTTTTGCAAAGTCTTTTGTGGTAGTTCTTGTTATCAGGCATTCATGCATGAGTGCCCTGCATTCATGGCCTTCCTCAGCTCTATTTGTCAGGGCTTTTAACACAAATGACTCCATTTTGATCCTGACAACTTTCACAATGGCAAATCATGAGACCAATTCACAGGTCGACTCCTTAAAAAAAACCAATCCCTGATCCCACGAGGCAGGACTGGTCCTAATCTTATTCTGTATATTAATCCTTGATAGCACTTGTAATCTGTTAGTGAATTGTCTATAAGTCATTGTCCACAGTTAGACTCTGAATTCTTGGAAGCCAAGCACTGTTTCTGATTCATTTTTCTAATTCTAGCATTTAACATAGAGTTCAGTAAATATTAAACACGAGTTTGGATAAACATAATCATAGTTTTAAAAAGTGCACAGCGCAATGAATTATCCAGAGAGAATATACCTGTGTAACTATCACCCACGTCAAGAGTTAGAAAACTAGCAGCACCCCAGAAGCGCCACCTTGACCCATCTTCCAATCCCTGCATGCTTCCATCTCTTCAAGGTAGCTGCTATTTTGTCTTCTACCACTACCAGGTATTAGTTTTACTATTTTAAGCATTATATAAAGGAAACCATATAGTATATTTAATTTTACATTCAACTTCTTTCACTCAATATTATGTTATATATTATCTATCTATATATATATATTTATATTATTGTAGGCAGCTGAGTTAGTTCATTTTGGGAGGCTGTATAGTATTCCATTGGATGAATACACCACAATTTATCTACTTGACTCCTGTTGGATATTTATTTCCAATTTGAGGCTTTTATATATTATGCTCTTATAAAGTCTTATATGTGTTTTATAATATACATGGACACAATTTCTGTTAGAAATGAATTTTCCAGGTCTTTGGGCACAGCTCTGTTCAGCTTTAGTAGATAATGCAAAACATTTTTTTCAAAATGTTATGCCAGTTTATACTCCCAACTGTACTATGTATGTTCCCATTGCTGTGGATTTTGACCAACACTTGATATTATCAGTCTTTTAAATTATAGACACTCTGGCATGTGTGGTATGTGTGTATGTCTGTGTAATAGTATTACATTGTGGTTTTAATCTGTTTTCCCCATGATTAGTGAGCTTGAGAACTTTTTAACATTTTTATTGGCCATTTGGATACTCTCTTTTATGAGTTTCCTGTTCAAATCTGTGTTGCTCATAATTTCTATTAGGCTTTCTGGCCTTTTATTTGATTTTCAAATGGTAATCCAATCTTGGATTCATAAAATAATCCAGACTTATTTGTGATGTATTATTCTTTTCTTGATGCATTACTACATTGTTTTTTAATATTTTGTTCAGTTTTTGCATCTATGTTCATAATGGCATTGTCTATAATTTTTCTTTCTAGTAATACAATTGTCATAATCTGATGCTAACTTATTCTGGTCCCATAATAATACAACCCCAAATTGGGATGTATTTTTTCTTTTAATCTCTGGAATAATTTGTGTAAGATTACTATGGTAGGCAGTCTCTAAGATCATATCCCAAAAATTCTATTATCCTGGTATTCATGCCCTTGTGTAATAACCCCCCTTTAGTGTGGGCCAGATTTAGTGACTCATTTCTAAGAATATAATCTATCAGGGATGAAGGGATGTCACCTTCAAGATTAGGGTACAAAAAGACTGTAGCTTCAGTCTTCAGTGCTCACCATCCCTTGCTCAGTCTGAGGAAGCCATCTGTCATGTTGTGAACAGCCTTATGGAGAGACCCACATGGTAAGAAACTGAGTAAGGTCTCTGGCCAACAGCAAAGGAAGAAGTAACACCTTCAGTCAACAGCCTGTGAAAAACTGAAGCCTGTCAACAACCACATAAGTGAGCTTGGAAGTACACACTTTACCAATCAAACTTTCAGATAAGACTGCAGCCCCAGCCAAGAGCTTCCCTGTGGAAAAACCTTGGATCAGAGTCATCTGGGTAGGCCACACCTGGATTCCTGACCCATAGAAACTGTGAGATAATAAATGTTGTTTAAAGTTACTAAGTTTTGGGATACTGTGTTTTGCAGCAATAATCAATATAATTACCATTATTTTTCTTTTAAATGTTTGAAAGAATTCACTGGTAAAATCATTTAATCTTGGAGTCTTCTTTATGGACAGACCTTTAATTACATATTTAGTTTAATAATTATAGTACTATTTAGATTTTCCATTTCTTTCACTTAGTTTTGTTAAGTTTTATTTTTCTAGGAATTTGTCCATTTCTCTACATTTTCACATTTACCGGCATAGAGTTGTGTCTAAAATCTTACTATCTTTATGATAATTAAGATTCTCATTGTAAGATCTGTAGGATCTGAAGTATGTTCCCTTCCACATTCTTGATACTGGTTATTTATGCCATCACTTTTTCCTGCACCAGTCTTACCAGGAGCTTGTCAATGTTATTAGTCTTTTCAAAGAAACCACTTTTGGCTTTGTAAG
This sequence comes from Homo sapiens, assembly GCF_000001405.40. Lineage (NCBI taxonomy): Eukaryota > Metazoa > Chordata > Mammalia > Primates > Hominidae > Homo > Homo sapiens. The sequence continues at coordinate 7,981,416 of NC_000006.12, forward strand.
TCCTCTCTATTTTTATTAATTTATTTCATCTATTTATCCTTTTCTTCTACTTTCTTTAGGTTTACTTTGCTGTTTTTCCCTAAAGCATTTCCTTTCCAAATTTATTTTTTGTAAATTTAAATTTTAAACTTATTTTTGTAATTTTTTGTAAATTTAAATGTACAGTTAAAACATTCTTAAAGTTTATTTAAAATCATACATTTTCCTTGAAGCATGGATTTAGTTGCATCCCCAAAATTTCAATGTCATACTGTAATCCTTTTTCAGTTTGCAATATCTTCTAACCTCCGCTGTGATTTCTCCTTGGCCCAGGACTTATGTAGAGGTATATTTGAGTTTTTTCTAGTAATATTTTACTTAATGATTTCTAGCTTAATTCTACTGTCATCAGAACATACTCTGTATAATCTTAACATTTTGAAATTAGTTGAGTCTTGTTTTATGGCCCAGCATGGGATCACGTTTTATACATATTCCTGTGTACTTAAAAATTATTTGCATTATGAACATTATGTAATAGTAAGTACACTGTTCTGTATATGCCAATTTGAATTAAGCTTGTTAATTGTCTTGTTCAAAGCTTCTATATTTAAAGTGCTTTTTCTATCAATTATTGAGGAAGCTATGTTATTTGCTGAAAATTTAGAATTCTTATACCTTATTGTTGAAGTAAATATTTAATTATTATGAAGTATCTCTTTTTATGTCTAGGAATACCTGTTACCTCAGTGAACTTTCTCTGATATTAATCTTTGTGATGTGATATTAAATTACACCAGTTTTATTTTCATTAGTGTTTGTACACTATATCTTTTCCATTCATTTACTTTCCATCTTTCTGTGTTCTCAAAATTTAAATGTGTCTCTTCTAAAGCATAAAATTGTTTTAAAAATAAATTCAGGCTGGGCACGGTGGCTCATGCCTGTAATCCCAGAACTTTGGGAGGCCAAGGCAGACAGATCACCTGAGGTTGGGAGTTCGAGACCAGCCTGACCAACACGGAGAAACCCCATCTCTACTAAAAATACAAAATTAGCTGGGCGTGGTGGCGCATGCCTGTAATCCCAACTACTTGGGAGGCTGAGGCAGGAGAATCGCTTGAACCCAGAGGGCGGAGGTTGTGGTGAGCAGACATCATGCCGTTGCACTCTAGCCTGGGCAACAAGCGTGAAACTCCATCTCAAAAAAAAAAATTAAAATAAATAAATAAATCCAGCTATTAATATTTTAATAAAAGCATTTAGTTGCTATGTAGTTAACGTATGTCTTGATATATTGGGGTTTACATCCTCCTAGGCTTCATGCTTCTCTTGCCTATTCTAGTTCCTTCTCCTGTACCTCCTCCCCCCTTCCATTTTGCTTTCTTTTTGAATTAACTTGGTATTTTAAAATAATTTTCTCCCGTTAATTTGGCATTTTACAATCTTTAATTACTTTTTAGTTACAGAAATTACAGCATTCAGGCCAGGCATGGTGGCTCATGCCTGTAATCCCAGCACTTTGGGAGGCCAAGGTGGGCAGATCACTTGAGTCCAGGAATTTGAGACCAGCCTGGCCAACGTGGTGAAACCCATCTCTACTGAAAACCCAAAAATTAGCCAGGTGTGGTGGCGGGCGCCTGTAATCCCAGCTACTTGGAGGCTGAGGCAGGTGAATCGCTTGAATTTGGGAGGCAGAGGTTGCAGTGAGCCGAGATCAGACCACTGCACTCCAGCCTGGGCAACAGAGCAAGACTCCTACTCAAAAAAAAAAAAAAATTAATTTTAAAAAACGAAGCTAACATCATTAACACTTTTACTTCAAAATGCAAAGGACTTTATAATACTTTAATTTTGTTTAGATCCTTCATTTCTGTTGAGACTTTAAACAATTATGTTTTTAAACTCCAAAGCATAGCATTAATATCATTTTTTGAAGAACAACATTCATTTGGATTTACTCATTTATTTACCCCATTTCTCTCGCTCTCCATTTCATCCCCCATCTCTAAAAAATTAGAGTCACTTTTCTCTTGCCTGAGAATGTTCTTTGGTGTTCCCTTTATTACAAAGATGCCTCTGGTAAATTCTCTCAGTTGTTGTTTACCTGAAAATGCCTTTGTTTCCTTGTCAATCTTGGTAGTTCTTTTTGCTAGGGATAGAATTCCAAAATTCAAAGATTTTATTCTTCTGTCTTCTATTATTTCTGTAAAGAAGTTAGCTGTCAGTCTTATGATTCATTCTATGAGGATAATCTCTCCTCACCTACCACCTCACTTTCTTTGCTTTAAATTTTCTGTCTGCCTTTCAGCAGAATTTTACTATCATTTTTGTTTTTATTTATCTTACTTGAGGATTACAATGACTCTTAAAACTATGACTTTAAGTCTTTCATCAATTTTGAAAAATTCTCAGCCATTATCCCTTGAAATGTTGCTTCTGTCTCATTTTCTCTCTCCTTTCCTTCCAGGACTAAATGTTACATTCTTTCACTGTATTCCCTATCTTTTCTTTTTTATGTATTTTCTTTGTTTTCTTCCTGTCTTTTTTTTTTTTTTTTTTTTTTTTTTGAGATGGAGCCTTGCTCTGTCGCGTAGGCTAGAGTGCCATGGAGCAATCTTGGCTCACTGCAACCTCTGCCTCCCAGGTTCTAGCGATTTTCCTGCCTCAGCCTCCAGAGTAGCTGAGATTACAGGTGCCTGCCACCACGCCTGGCTAATTTTTGTATTTTCAGTAGAGACAGGGTTTCACCATGTTGGCTAGGCTGGTCTCAAATTCCAACCTTCGGTGATCCACCCACCTCAGCCTCCCAAAGTGCTGGGATTACAGGCATGAGTCACCACGCCCAGCCTCTTTTATGTATTTTCTAAACTTTTATTTTTCTATGCTTCATTCTAGATATTTTCTTCAGATTTTCCTACTCCACTCCTTCTCTCTTTAGCTGTCTCTAATCTGCCATAAATCTTATCCATTGAGTTTTTCTTTTATCATAATTTTTAGTTGTAGAACTTTGTTCTTTTATAGCATTTCTAGTTCTCTGCTTAAGTTGCCAATCTTGTCATTTATTTCTTTAAATATATTAATCAGTGTTACTTTAAAATCTGTATAAGAGAATGATATTACTGAGATATGGCAGGATCCCCTGTGAGTCCATTTCTATTGTCTATCATTTCTCTTGGTATTCAGTCACATTGTCTTGACTCCTTATGTACATAATAATGACTGCCTGAATTCTGGACATTACACATAAAAAATGAGAGAGAATTTAAGGGCTAGGACAATGTTATTAATATATTTCTCCAAAGAGGAATATAAATTTGCTCTTTATAGACATCTAGGGATATTACCCATCTCAATTATCTTGATCCCACCAGGGATTGAGGTGATTCGCAGCTGAATTGCAGTGTCTGTGAGGAACGGTCTATTTCTATACACATTTACTCCCATGCTATATAGCCTTTCAGGGTCTCAATCCGAAGTTTTGGGAAGTTTAGCAGACAATTGCTGTATCAGACCCCAAACTCAGTTTTTTGTTCCCTAATCCACTGAGTTTGTCAAAAACTCTGCTAAGCTTATCAGACTCTCAGCTACCTCTAATGGAACATGCAGAGGTCCCTAAGGAAACAGTGGGCCCAAATGCTCACCTCTCTGTACTTCTTTCTTTTCCCAGATCTCAGTACTATAATTATTCACTAACTTCTTAGGACTCCAATGTATCCGACCAAATTTTTAAAAAAATTTGTTCTCTGAGGGAGGTTGGTTTAAATGGACTATTCTGCCATAAACAAAAGCCAATCCCCATTTATAAATATTTTATTATCACAAATACTTGTCCATTCATGGTAGTATGCTGGGGGCATAGCAGCACACATAATAAATTTCATATAAATAAAGTGTACAATTTTTCTGTCTCATTAGAGAACATATTTGCGGCATTATTTGTTAGCATGTCATTATCATAGGTTTTGACAGGATGGTAGGGAATAAATATTATTCCTTAATTCCATAGGTTTTAGAGTATGGAGGGATCATGTAAATTTACCTAAACTCCTCCCTTCCCATTTCATAGAGGCAGCAATAGAGCCCCAGGGATGTTGAGTGACTTATCCAAGATCAAACAATCAGCTAGTGGCACAAGCAGATTCTTAAATCAGTTATCACACTTCTAGAGCGCTGAGGTCTTTCTTCCATAACACACTGGTGTTGTTTGAGAAAGCTTCTATACATGAATTGGAGTTTCAAGTATGTTTCTGATACTAAGAGAGAAGTGAGGCTAGAGGACCCGAGATGATAGGGCATTCGAGTCATTAGGTGCAACTTGAAAAAAAAAAAAAAAGGCTTAGGTAGGAATGGGTTGATCACGTAAATAAACTGATGGATCGGCTGGGCACAGTGGCTCACGCCTGTAATCCCAGAACTTTGGGAGGCCGAAGAGGGCGGATCACCTGAGTTCGGGAGTTCGAGACCAGCCTGACCAACATGGTGAAACCCCCATCTCTACTAAAAATACAAAATTAGCTAGGGCGTGGTGGCGCGTGCCTGTAATCCCAGCTACTTGGGAGGCTGAGGCAGGAGAATCGCTTGAACCCGGGAGATGAAGGTTGCGGTGACCTGAGATCGTGCCACAGCACTCTAGCCTGGGCAACAAGAGGGAAACTCCGTCTCAAAAAAAAAAAAAGAAAAAAAGAAAAAAAGAAGGAAACTGACGGATCGAAGCGGCTGGGTTGGGCGGTAAACAGGCCGTGGGTAGGGAGGACAGAGAGGCGGCGTTCGCTCCTCTGGGACTTTTCACGCCTCGTTTTGTTTTTTTTCTTCAGATGTGGCTTTTTCCTGACGCAGGGTCCAAGCAGTCAGCTTGAGCTTACTCTTCTGTGAAAGCGGAAAGTCTCCTCTGAGGAAAGCGGTTGAACTTGTGGAGGGCGTGCGAGACGGGCGTTCTCCCCCATGCCAGGCGAATGGTGCGGCCTTGAGCTGGTCCAGCAGCCGGCTCGATGACAGGTCTGAGGGAGGCCCCAGAGGCGGCGGGAAGGTGGCCCGCAGAACGCGGGTTCTGTAAAGACACGTGGAGAAGATTCGATTCCGAGAACAGGAAGAGGCGGATGGAAAGACAGCCAGGCGGCTGCCGGGAAGGGGGCTGCCAAGATGGCGTCGGCCTCCTCCCAACCGTCGTTGGCGGTCGGTTTTTCATCCTTTGATCCCGGGGCCCCTTCCTGTACCGCGTCCTCAGCATCTGGAATCTTGAGCCCCACGGCATCTGAGGTGCCTTATGCCTCTGGCATGCCCATCAAGAAAACAGGCCATCGAGGTGTCGATTCCTCAGGAGAGACAACATATAAAAAGACAACCTCAACAGCCTTGAAAGGTGCCATCCAGTTAGGCATTACTTACACTGTGGGGAGCCTGAGTACCAAACCAGAGCGTGATGTCCTCATGCAAGATTTCTACGTGGTGGAGAGTATCTTCTTCCCCAGTGAAGGGAGCAACCTGACCCCTGCTCATCACTACAATGCCTTCCGTTTCAAGACCTATGCGCCGGTTGCCTTCCGCTACTTTCGGGAGCTATTTGGTATCCCGCCCGATGATTACTTGTGCTCCCTCTGCAGTGAGCCGCTGATTGAACTCTGTAGCTCTGGAGCTAGTGGTTCCCTGTTCTATGTGTCCAGCGACGATGAACTCATTATTAAGACACTCCAACATAAAGAGGCGGAGTTTCTGCAGAAGCTGCTTCCAGGATACTACTTGAACCTCAGCCAGAACCCTCGGACTTTGCTGCCTAAATTCTTTGGACTGTACTGTGTGCAGACAGGTGGCAAGAACATTCGGATTGTGGTGATGAACAATCTTTTACCAAGATCCGTCAAAATGCATATCAAATATGACCTCAAAGGCTCAACCTACAAACGCCGGGCTTCCCAGAAAGAGCGAGAGAAGCCTCTTCCCACATTTAAAGATCTAGACTTCTTACAAGACATCCCTGATGGTCTTTTTTTGGATGCTGACACGTACAATGCTCTCTGTAAGACCCTGCAGCGTGACTGTTTGGTGCTGCAGAGCTTCAAGATAATGGACTATAGCCTCTGGCTGTCAATCCACAATATAGATCATGCACAACGAGAGCCCTTAAGCAGCGACACTCTTCAAGTGTCAATCGACACTCAAAGACTGGCTCCCCAAAAGGCTCTGTATTCCACAGCCATGGAATTCATCCAGGGAGAGGCTCGGCTGGGCGACACCATGGAGGCCGATGACCATATGGGTGGCATCCCTGCTCAGAATAGTAAAGGGGAAAGGCTTCTGCTTTATATTGGCATCATTGACATTCTACAGTCTTACACGTTTCTTAAGAAGTTGGAGCACTCTTGGAAAGCCGTGGTACATGATGGGGACGCTGTCTCAGTGCATCGCCCAGGCTTCTACGCTGAACGGTTCCAGCACTTCATGTGCAACGCAGTATTTAAGAAGATCCCCTTGAAGCCTTCTCCTTCCAAAAAGTTTCGGTCTGGCTTATCTTTCTCTCTGCATACGGGCTCCAGTGGCAACTCCTGCATTACTTACCAGCCATTGGTCTCTGAGGAACACAAGTCACAAGTGATAAAGGTGCAAGTGGAGCCAGGTGTTCACCTTGGTCGTTCTGATGTTTTACCTCAGACCTCAGAATCCACCTTTGGAGGAAATCAGTGAGGGCTCACTATTACTGACCACAGTTTCTCACCTGTAGTTGGAAAGACTTTGCATATGCTAACTACAAGTATAACCTTGGAAAAACTTGAATGTACAGAGTCAGAGTTCACCCATTAAGCGCAAAGCCTCAGAAGACCTGGAACAAGATTCTGCTTCTCTGTGATCCCAAGATGTCAGCCCTTGCCCCAGCAATGTTGAATTTTCTTCTACTTGGTCATCAAAAAAGGAGTGTAAAAGAAGCGAGGTGCACTCTCCATCTTCTTCCTGAAGAAGAGCCTCCTATTCTTCTCTGTCCTCATAAATGGGCATTAGTGCCTTGGACAGTTGAGGACCACTCCATCCTCTCCACAGCATCCCCTCCACTCCAGAGTTGGGTGGCACGGATTTTCAACTGGCTAACCTTGGTTTCCACAACTGAATTTTTTTCAGACCCCCATTCTTCATGCTGGAAATGAGATTACTGGACTTGGCAGTTTTCTTTCCCCTCATCTTTCACCAGGAACTGGACTCTTCATTTCCTCAGGACAGACTAGCTGCCACATTATCCCCACCTTAGTTCTTTCTCTCTGATCCCTGGAAGAAAACCCCTGTAATCTCTGTATAGGTTTTTGGGGGATAAGGGTGTTTAACCACCTCCCAACTTTGTTTTTTTTTTTTTCCTGAAAAAAGGAAAAAGCGCACAGCACCAAATTTCAAGCCAGTTTCAGATCAAAAATCCAGAAGTGTTGACGAGATGCCTATCCGTAGGGTTCCCTCAGAAGAGCCACGGTGTTTGTGAAGGGAAAAGTAGTGATTGCTCTGCCAGAAGCAGCTCCTCTTTAAACTCCTCATCTCTTGATGAATTTCTTAAGGCTGAAGGAATGGAGAGAGTGGGACGTGGGGTAATCTTTACCACTTTTGTTAAAACATGAGGCAGCCATGGGTTGGGAGATCATAGCCCTTCCTGGGCAGAATCCTATTCACTGCCAGGCTATAATGATTATTACTGTTTTGCAATTTGAAATATATTCTGGTTGCTTTTCTAAATATGAAGACTTACCAAATGAATTTTAGATCATTCTCCAAAGGAGATTTTTTTGCTCTTCCCATCTTTTCCAACAGTGTTCTCCTGTTTGTGGTGCTAAGGTGAAGAGGGGACACCTCTGTCTGTTTAACAGGCAGTCCGTATCTGTGAGGCCAGCAAATATTTTCTTAAATTCATGGGGAGACAGTGGATTCTTGCCTCGGTGAGGTCATTGCTATGCCATATGTCCTACCCCCGTCTTCATGCAGAGAAGTTGGAAATGGGGGCTACATATGCCCTCTCCTCCCCACCTACAAGAGTTGTGGTTTTCCATCTGATCCTTCCACTGTTGTCAGGAGAAGAAGGGGGCCTGGTATCTCAGGCATATTGTTGAATTCCTGTTCTATCCCTTCTCTATCCCACCCTGCCTTGACAGTAGGTTAGCCCATACCCCAAATAACTTTCTATATTAGACACCCCCAGCCAGTTTCTGGCTGCCTGTCTTTGCTGCCATGTTCTTTTTTACAAGAAGGAAAGAAACAATTCTTGCTATTTTTTTCATAATTTACTATTTATGATGTATTTAAGTGTTTTATTAAGGACAGAGTTCTGTAAGGGGTGGGAGAGAATATTTGAGGGAGGGCTGGGTCTTAGGGAAAGGAATAGGGAATCAACATTTTAATGAAGTGTCTCTATTTGCTTCTACTTTGTATCATTCGGAAAAGGCAAATGCAATATAAAAGTGATATATGGTTTTAATGTAATAAACTTTTATCAGTTATTTAGAAAAAGAAAAGAAACCGATGGATCATTTTGACAACAATGAAGAAAGGAGACAGGAACAAGGAAAAGTTGAGGTTATCCTGTAAAGCATCTTAAAGCAGAAAGCAAGGCTCTTAGTTTGTAATTTAATACACCTGACTGTAATAATTGTAAAACAAGGCAGGAGTCAAGGAAGGGAGGCAGCTGACGATGCCATGTGTCTGTCAGCATAAGGCAAAGGCAGAGCGAGGTGAAAAGGCATGACCAGGAAAGATGACATGCATTGTCATAAATAAATGCAGAGAGAAATAATTTTTTTTTGTGAAAACGAACGGACCCATATACTTTATAAACACAGGGTACCACTTATTCTTCAAACTATCTAAACTAGTCATGGATGAGTTTTCAATGTTTTTATATGAGTTCTTTCATGAGTCCAAAATACTATTTCTTACATTGTGTCTTTCCATAACTTATCTGCCAATAAAGATACCTGCTAGGGCACCAGGAGCTTTAATGAGAGGCTTCTTTAATGTTATGTTACTAGCATGACTTCTGAGACACATTTATTCATCCACTCATATACTAAAGCACTCATTTGAGAAGCACTTATTAAAATTTATGCTAGAACTAAGGAAACAGATAAAAGACACAATCCCTGATGCCAAGAAGTTGCCTGCCTTGCTGATGGAATTTCCTAGTACCCCATGTTATTCTTGGCTGTGCAAAAATTAGATTTTTAAACTTTTATTATTGTCTAAAATTATGGGTTATACCATTTAGAGAAAAAAGCCTCACTACTGTTGCAGGTTGAGGTTACCATTGGGATATTAGGTATCAACACAGGCCCCATGACAGGATTTGAGTAAAAACCGTAGCCTTTGCATAATGACAAGTCTGTGTCACTTTTCCTAAAACTGTGTGAAAACAGAAAAATTACATCTTCTTCTTTTTTTTTTTTTTTTTTTTTTGAGACTAGTCTTGGTCTTGTTGTCCAGGCTGGAGTGCAATGGCATAGTCTCGACTCACTGCAACCTCCACCTCCTAGGTTCAAGAGATTATCCTGCCTCAGCCCCCCAAGTAGCTGGGATTACAAGCGCGCACCACCAGGCCCGGCTAATTTTTTGCATTTTTAGTAGAGATGGGGTTTCACCATGTTGGCCAGGCTGGTCTTGAACTCCTGACCTCAGGTGATCCACCCTCCTTGGCCTCCCAAAGTGCTGAGATTACAGGCGTGAGCCACCATGCCCGGCTAATTATATCTTCTTATTGCTTTCAAAGATCTTAATGACAATAAAGAGAGCCAACGCTCCATCCCAGAAGGAAGAAAATGACCATGTCACTTCTGAATGTTTGCTAGGATGCTAAAGTAAAAATGGGCTGAGGATATAAGAAATGCTAAAGTTCAGGTGGCATTGTTGCTTATAAGTCAATGAAAATTAAGTCACATTAAACATTCAGTTCCTTAGACACATTAGCCACATTCCGAGTACTCAATAGTTACATACGGCTAGTGGCTACCATATTGGACAACACAGATAAAGAACACTTCCCCCACTGCAGAAAGTTCTACTGGACAATGCTGGAAGTGAAATGGGTCTCCTAAAAAGCTTCAAAGGTAAGGTTGTACATGGTGTCGATGAGTTTGAGTAGCAAAGAAATTATTTTAAAATTATAATTAAATGTAATAAGAGATATTTTTAAAAATTCTGTTGGAACTTTTAAAGACATAATTTAGCCAAACAAAAATGATACAAATTTTCTCCTGGAACTTTGGGTGTTTGGGTGACTGTTTTGAATCTTGTCTGTGGGACAAGCAAGAGGCCGTGCCCCTGTGTGTGGCCACCAGATGGACCTGGGATCACTGACTGTGTTGTCTTGGAGTCATCCAGCTGTTGGCTGACAGAAAAGGGAAGGGCATTCACCCTGCATGCATATACATGCACACAGACATACCCTGCCTGCCTGTTGCCAGCTTCCATAACATGGGGGAGAAACTTTTAAAAAAGAAGGTCCTCTCATTTATGTGACTAAAGTTTTGCCTTTGAACTAGTCACATGGAGAAACAGAATGGCCTCATCTGCAGTAGATTTTAGTTAATGCAATTTATCTGGCTCATGTTGACATACTATACTATTCTACACTCTACTTACTTGCTCAAATCGAAGTCAATTTGATACATCCTACTCTTGATCTTAAAATATAAGACAGTAAATGGGTGCAGTATTTCTTGGGTTATTTGGATGAATGAGACCTAGAACAATATGAAACCTGTTACTGGGGCCTAAATGAGATTGGTCAGTGCTGGTTTCTTTTATGTCTTCTGTCTACCCCCTGGTGGAGGGATTCATTACTAGTCAGAGCCAAAGAAGGAAAGAGAAAGAGAAAAAAGCATGAATTATTTCCTGAACATCTATTCAGTCCCTCAATAATCTTGGGTTTGTTGTTTATACGAGAGTGCCAGCTCAACGGGAGAAGAGCTGAAACCCATTATTTCCCTTTGAACATGTTCTTCACCGGGAATGGCAGGAGGAGCAGAGCAGCAGGAGGGCTGTCCTGCCAAAACGCTGAACTTGGAACTGAAGGGGCCATCGCTCTGGGTGCAAAAAAAGAGTTCTGAGCTTTGCTGCTCTGGCAGGCCTGGAATCCTTCCCTTGGCTGTGGATAATACCTAATGATTCAGAGGAAGTACTGTCAACTCTTCAAAGCAGACCTAGCTAATTGTGTAATGTTATTCTGAGGCACTGGGAGAAGCCAAAAAAGAAGGGAGGCTGGGGAGAAATTCCTTCCTTTGCAATGATCAGCTTACATCCTGCACCATCAGATTTGATTATCCTTATCTTTTCTTGCATAACTACAAATGTTATGACTGGTCATAGTGACCAGACTTCCAAAAAAAAATCCAGCCACAGTATTTGACTCTATGACTGCCTCTGGCGGTAAATTCCTTAGACTAGCTACATGCTGTGCAAAAAGCTATTTCCTTTGATTTATTCATTTCCCAGTTCTTAACTCCATCAGGTGCCCCCTTGATCTCACATTAGAGAATGAGGCAAAAAAAGAAAAGGAAAAAAGAAGTCTGTTCATTTTGCCTTATCTCCTTGCAGTTAGGAAATGTAAATATCCACTAACCTCTTTTGCTCATATTGCACAGTAATTTTTAAAATTAACTCCTTTTAACTAGCTCTTTTTTTTAATTGAATAAGTAATACAAGGACCTGATTAAAAGATTTAGGCACTACAGGCTGGGTGCAGTGGCTCACGCCTGTAATCCCAGCACTTTGGGAGGCTGAGGCTAGCAGATCACGAGGTCAGATCGAGACCATCCTGGCTAACACAGTGAAACCCCATCTCTACTAAAAATACAAAAAATTAGCTGGGCGCGGTGGCGGGTGCCTGTAGTCCCAGCTACTCGGGAGGCTGAAGCCGGTGAATGGCGTGAACCTGGGAGATGGAGTTTGCAGTGAGCCGAGATCGCACCACTGCACTCCAGCCTGGGCGATAGAGCGAGACTCCATCTCGAAAAAAAAAAAAAGATTTAGGCACTACAATAAATAGAAAAAGGAAAAGTAAGTATCCCTCCCATTGCAGACCTGCAGACCCTTGATTCCTCAGACCCTACCCTGAGGCAGTCATCAGTACCAGCTGCTGGTATACACTCTAGAAATATCCAAATGCAAGCATGTGTGCATTTTCTCCTTTTAAAATGTATCTTTCTTTTTCACATAATAACATCTTGGAGATCATTCCATATTATCATGTTTAGTGCTAACCCATCCTTTTTCATGGCTGCATAGTATTCCCATTCAAATATACCACACAATTGATTAACCAGTTCCATATTAATGGATATTTATGTTGTTTCTAGTATTTTTCTCATATGAAAAGCTACAACAAAGACCTCTGTACACATCTTAACAAGTATGTGCCATACCTTGTTAAGCACATACCAGCCAGTATGTGCATTTTAAATGTTGATAGATATTTTCAGATCGCCCTCCAAAGAGGTTACATCAATTTATACTCTCCTTTGAGAGTATGTAGGAGTATGTAGGAGTCCTCTTCCTCACTTCTTTGCTAACATATATATTAACTATAACAAATAACTAATAATATTTTACAATCTTCCATCATATGACTGTTCTGCCTGAAAAACCACACAAGATGCAGTGACCTCTACGTAACCATCAGGTCCTGACATTAAGCCTTTTGCCCAGTCTCCTGTAACACCACTCTCACCTGTATAAGCCCTAACATCTAATAGGGAAAACAAGCAAGATGAAAAAAAACAAAGAAAACGGGTTACATAAACTAACGAACCAGCGCCACCTACACGTCCCTGGGCTTCTGTACCACCAAATTCGTGAACTAGCCAATTTGCACCTATAACTGTTTGTGTATGTGTTTTGGGGGATGGAGTTACCAAAAGATTCCTAAAACGGTCTGCGATTGCTACTTAAAAAAGATAAGCATCAGTGATCTATGTAATTAAAAAGAGAGCAAGAGAAAATTAAAATTGGAGGGCTGGATGCAGTGGCTCACGCTTGTCATCGCAGCACTTTGGGAAGCCGAGGTGGGAGGATTGCTTGAGGCCAGGAGTTCAAGAGCAGTCTGGGCAACACAGCAAGACCCCTGTCTCTACACAAAAATAAATTAGCTGGGTGTCATGGCATGTGCCTGCAGTCCCAGCTACTTGGAAGGCTGCAGCAGGAGGATCGCTTAAGGCCAGGAATTCAAGGCTGCAATGAGCTATGATCACACCACCGCACTCTAGCCCAGGCAACAGAGCAAGACCTTGTCTCTAAAAACAAAAAAGAAGGAAAAAAAAAACTGCATAAAAATCCAAATCCCTGATTTTATGGCTTAATGTAGATAAACTAAGTATTACGGTATACTTAACTACTAATATGTAAAATAATGAAATGACTCTAGGGCAGTGATTCTCCGATTTTGGACTAGAAACATTTCTAAAACAAAACCTGCGACCCAAAGTGGTCTTTGTCAAAGTTCTCTTACTTCAGATAGAGACATTAACCAAAAAATAGCTACCATGATCTGTCATCATTTCATAAGGCAATTTCAATACCAAAAAGTAGAAAAGCTATAACATGATAGTAAAAGGCAGTTCCTTAAGGTGGATAAATTTAACTCTATCTCAAGTTCACTGCTCTAACCCTCATGTTCTCATTTCACCATCCAGTCTGAGAATCCAAATGACACACACGGGAAAACTCTGTCCTGTAGGATCACTGTCCGTGGACTGGCATTTGAAAACTACTGCTATCAGGAACCTTTGCTTAAATTCATAAAGGCCAGGGATTCTTGCCTCTGTCTTGTATTTTATGTGTGTAGTTTAGAAATCTAGAGGAGACAGCCCCTAATTTTCAGTTCTGGATTTGCCGCTAATTAACTTCAGTTACTGAATCCTTCTATGAACTTCAGTTCTTAATATCAGATAAGAATAACACCTTTCCTGTCTATTTCACAGGACTGACAGGTTCAAAGAAATTCAATATGTGAGCAAGTTTTTTTGTAAACTATCATGCTTAATATAATGATTAAGTACTAACATTTATCAAGCATTTTTAAAGTGCCAGATGCTGTTCTAAATGCTTCCCAAATGGTATCCCGTCCAGCCTTTTTGGCAGCCAAGTAAGGAAACTGAGGCTCAGAGAGGATAAAGAATATGCCAAGTTCATACAGTTAGTGAGGAATAAGGTCAGGAATGGACCCCATGACTGTCTGGTTGCAATTCCATTTTTTTTTTGTTTTTTGTTTTTTGAGACAGGATCTCTCTCTGTTGCCCAGGCTGGAGTGCACTGGTACAATCTCGGTTCACTGTAATCTCCGACTCCTGGGTTCAAGCAATTCTCCTGCCTCAGCCTCCCTAGTAGCTGAGACTACAGGCACCCGCCACTGCACCTGGCTAATTTTTGTATTTTTAGTAGAGAAGGGGTTTTGCCATGTTGGCCAGGCTGCTCGCGAACTCCTGACCTCAGATGATCCATCCGCCTTGGCCTCCTGAAGTGCTGGGATTACAGGCATGAGCCACCACACAAGGCCTAATTCCATATTCTTAATCATTCTGATATACTCTTTCGTAATTAGTGATATAATTATATCATTGCAATTCTCGTATGCTACTGGCTGAATACTGTAGCTACTGGCTGAACATGCAATATTAATTAACAATTTGTCAGACTCAGGCCCTTCTAAGTCAGCAAGACCTCCAGATGATAGCTTTCAGCTTAATAAACAAAGGATTTGCTCAGGATCCATTCAGCTAATAGATGCCACTTTTTATGTTCAGATATTAACCTCTGTAGATAATTACATGCCCTAGCAGGTAGAGTGCTAGTCTACATTGCTAAGAAAAACGATTGGGCATTATTGCGCTCAAGCTGGAAACATGTCATTGGGTAAAGATGTAAAAAAAATAGGAGGAAAATGAGATATACAATCAGAAATGTCAAGCCTTTTGAGAAGTGTAATGAATTTGCTAAATCTTTAGTAAATTGTACACATGCATTAAAACAGTATATGAGGCTTGCTGAGCTGAAAACTTACACCTTAAGTGACTCTGTGGTACACTATATTTTTCTCATACATTTTATTTTGTGATTTATTTAGAATAAAACATCACCTACTTTTTATTTTACAGAAGGCAGAATCGTTTTTAGTTAACATTGGCTTTCAGCTTTAGCATGTCTACAGCAGAGAAATACATTGTGGCATTAGTGCCAGGGCAGGGGCTGCTAGTAGAAACGGCAGCATCCAGAGTCCAGCAGCCGTGTGTGGTGGCACGGCCAGCACCAGCATCCTCCATGTGCGTCCTTTCTTTGGACGTTCTGGTTTTGCTCCCCGCAGCACAAGACTACATTACCTCATACTTTACTTGGCAGTTTCCCAAGTAAACTTCCAGCACCCCCACCCTTCCCCTCTTTGCCGCCTAGAGCAATGCTTTCATCATGCTATTCTCCGTCTAGGAACTAGCTGGCTTTCCTGGTCTCTGTGGCATCTGGTCTGAAGTTCTCCCTTCAAGGTCCTACATAATTAGCTTCCATCTGCTTTAGCCAATTAATTTTTCATGACTTCATCAACCCAACCCTACTTCAGGCATGCAGGGGACGTCACCTTTCTTTAGCAGACAAAATGCTTATTCTTATTCTCCCATCTGGAATTTTCTACCTGCTCCCTCTACAGGGTAATATACTACAAAGAATGTAGACTTTGGAGTCAGACAAGATGTCGCTATGACTCTCAGTCAGATTATCTGTCTCTCTTTCTATATATATTTAAACACATACTGAGTGGTTACAGCATATGAAAAACTGTGTGAAGTTCTTTGTCTCATTAAGTAATTTATTCATCACTCTATACCTGTGAGGTCACTATTATTAAGTTCCCGGTTTACAGATGAAACAATGGAAGCACAAGGAGACGAAGGGCAGCCAGTCAGTGAGGAGCTGAGATTCAAATCTAAAACTGCCTGGAATTCAGAGCCAATCGTCTTAACCATGACTTAGGAGCATCTCACTAGTTGTATAAACTTGAGCAAACTGCTTAACCTCTCCAGTCTTTAATATTCTCAGTATAAACAGGGATATAAATGTCTACTCAGCAGGATTAATGAGATTATGTGTATAAAGTTGCTATCAAAGAGTCTGGCATTCAAAAGAGGCTCCACAAATGTTTCTGTCTTGTCTCTTTTCTGCCCATTTACATTCCATTCATCTTTTACATCCTGCCTCTTCCATGAAGCCTCTTTGGAAGACGCAATGACCTATTTCAGCCTACAGTGATTTCTTCCTCCTGTAAAATCCAAGCGTTCTAAAATGTAGTTTTAAACTGTTTCCCAACTATTTCATTTAACTTAGCCTTTGCTTCCTCAACAAAAGTTTTTTTACAGGGCAGTAATCACATATTATATACCTCATTTACACTCCCTGTAATTAGCCAAGTACTGGATACATGTTGACTGGCCTAGTGATACAGTCCCTGCATGCAGTCTAAGACAGATGTTGCTTTAGAAAAATTTCATTCTATATTTAACAATGCTTATAAAAAAGTATATGGCAAATATAAATTCATAATCTATCACTTGTCCAGTATAAGTAACAATGAATTAAAAATTCACAGACTTGAATTTAACTTTCCTACCTGTGTAAGTCTGTGCTATGCCTAGTCATTGAAGACTAACAGACAATTGGTATTTGCTTACCAAGCTATACTATATCTTGCCAAATTTCAATATTACCAAGAAAATAATGACCATTCCAGAAAACATTAATAACACTTATCCTTAAATATAAACAGCAGCCCATTAGGGCTTAAGTGCGTCACAGACAGCTTCATCGAGTTGAGTATTCATGGCTGGCGATTTCCCTCTGAGGTAGCTATGAAGACTAGTAAGGTAACTGGAATTTATAGAATTGGGTAACTAGTGTGTTAAGCCAATCCTGGGAGTGAGCCAAGATAAGAAAGCCAAAAATGATTCCACTGCTATAAACTAAAGCCAAACAATGAAGACAACTGATTTAAGACTCCAGACACTGTTCATTCTCAAGTTCTTAACTAGGCCTAGACCACTGAAATCTGGCTCCAAAATATTCCACGGAATGAACGATGTGCCAAGGCCTATGCCTGGCCCTCCTCCACCCAGGACTGCTTTCCCCACACCGCAGGCTGCACAGCCCCACTCGCTGTCCCTTGGGGCATGGTGGCACAAACCCTACTTCTGCTTTTAGCTTTTGTCACTGACTCTTCTTCAAGAGGTAATTTGACCCATTACCTTTTTAATAAAACAAATTGACTCATTCCACCTATAGCTTCTCAATTTGAGTCTCCTGGCTTGAAAAGAGCCAGTGGGAATCAAGGAACAATGAGAAAGGTAATGGATTTTCTAACATGGATGTGTGGCCAACCACATCGTTCGGCCAGGCAGTGGCCAGGCCAAATGGAAAGATGCCTTAAAGAAAGAAAACCTCAATTTAGCGATTTCCATAATTTATGAGGAATTGGTAAATTTCTGATACAATCAGAAATAAGCATTTTTATTTTTTAATTGTTTTGTGGAGATGGGGTCTCACTATGTTGCTCAGGCTGGTCTCAAACTCTTGGGCTCAAGTAATCCTGCCTTGGCCTCCTGAGGCTAGAGCCACCATATCCGGCTGCCTGAAATAAGTAGTTTTAAATGCCAGTTTCACACTATACTTGTAAAAGTTATACATTTCACTAGAGCAAATGTCAAACAAGTTGATTTTGAGGCGGAATGAAGAGACACGACATCGATACCTAAGCTTCCACACAGGGAAGAGGATTTACGAAGACCCAGAAAGCCAGACAGAGAATGGTCTATCTTTCCGGGAAAAATGCCCAGAGGCAGCCGATGAAACCCCCTAAGTAATGCTGCAGTGTCTCAAGTCCCTCTTCAATCTGCTCAGTGTTCCTCCCTGTGACTCTTATATCCAATTTATTACACCTTTCACTCATGGGGGAGGATATGTCAACACAGAGGCAAATGCAAACATTCAGATGAAATGTAAAACACAACCTAGTTTCCAAACAGCTTTCTAGTTGGCCTTGTACAGGCTCAACAGCCAGATGACTATTCTCAATTTTTTTCTCATCCCTGATTAAATACAGTACCGACTTCCTTTCAAATGAGAATTCCAGAAAGCAATGTCTAAACATTAGCAATCTTCCTAATTGTTATTCTTTGCCATGGGTACCATCAGGCTACCTTGGTGATGTTTAGATTGCTAAGGATTATAAAGATGCCTCTTCATAGGAGTATCTACCAATCCACATTCAAGGGGCCCAAAAAACTCTCACACTACCCCAAAACATGTTTTGCTGAAATAGATATTCATTCTTCTTTTTTTTTTTTGAGACGGAGTCTTGCTCTGTTGCCAGGCTGGAGTGCAATGGCACGATCTGGGCTCACTGCAACCTCCGCCTCCCAGGTTCAAGCAATTCTCCTGCCTCAGCCTCCCAAGTAACTGGGGCTACAGGCATGTACCACCACGCCTGGCTAATTTTTTGTATTTTTAGTAGAGACGGGGTTTCACCATGTTAGCCAGGATGGTCTCAATCTCCTGACCTCGTGATCTGCCTGCCTCGGCCTCCCAAAGTGCTGGGATTATAGGCGTGAGCCACCGCACCTGGCCAATATTCATTCTTTCTAAAAGTTTGCATTTCTTATCTGGAAAGTCTGAAACAGAAGTCCCAAATTCTCTTTAGGAGTAAAAGGAAAACAATGTTGTAAAATAAGAATAGTTCAATAAACTGCAAGTAATCTCTGGGATGCTTCCCAAAAGTGTACAAAAAGGAACCCAGGGCCATCATCTCCCAAGAGGCTGTAAGGCAGTACAAAGACAAACAGCTCACCATGGCCAGAGCCCCTGTCAATAGCGCCGAGTGCTTGGTAATTTATTACCTCTGGTCCCTGGACTGCAGTGAAGGAAACTGGAATGTCATACCTTCATTCACAACACTGTCTCATGGAATTATTTTTTCCGGATTCCTTGGGAAGTTAAAGTATTTGAGAAGAATATCAGGAACTGTTGTTTCAGCCTGTTTTGTGAGTAGATAATTGCCTTCCAACTCCATTATTTCAGGAAATGATGTGTGCGGCATTGTTCCTAGATGAGGGGAGCAATGTGTTTTAGCAAGACCCATACATGCATATGAAAACAAAACAAAACAAAAGGCATGCAGTCTAAGTCACTTCACTCAACTCAGACTTTTAAAATCTGGTCTCTAGATAAGAGGCTGGCCCCAGACAACCTACCCACATACCAATAACATTCTTTTGAAAGGGTGTAAGCAAAATTTGTTTTAAGAAGTGAGAAATTTTTACCAAAATTACTAAATGTGGTAATAAATAACTTCGACAAATTAAGTGCTATCAAAATGGGTTCAGCAGAGACCTATTTGAAAGGCTAAATTTTTCTCTGATTTGGGTCTGAGTCAAAGACCAGCATGGGAACTAGAAGTAAAACACATTTCATCCTGAAAAATACCTTTGATTCCATGGAATATATTAGCTGATCTTCCTGAAATGTGACATCATTTGTGGTACCAGCTGTATGGGTGTGCCATCTAAGGATTTACTAAACTAGTATTTCTTTGGTTTAATATGTATTTTAAGACCACAGAAAAAAGTCTAATCCAACTAAGTGGTCCAAGGGGAACTGTTATGGACTTCATTCTAAGAAGCTTAAATTTCTTATGATCATGACCTGTTGACCTTTTAATGGATGGATTACACAGAGCAAATTCCCAAATGGACATCTAGAATTGATGATAATGATAATCATTGTTATAAAGGAAACATTAAATATAGCACATGTGAGGTTCTATTTTACATATATTAACTCATTTAATCCTCAAAACAAACTTACGAGGTTAAGTATTGGTCTTTTTACCACCCGTATTTTACAGGTGGGGAAACTGAGGCACAGATATTGAGGTTTGAGATGCCTATTAGGCATCTCAGTGCAGATGTTAATCAGGTGGTCAAATATGTGAGGAAAAAAACAGGGCTGGAGATACAAATTGGGGAGTTGATAGTTAATCATCCTAAGACTGGCTGCAGGGAAGTATCTGCAGGGAAGAGATAGCTGGAGGTCTGGCCTTGAGGCATATCAATAATTAGAGGTTGGAAAGAGGAGGAACACCCAGAGAGGCAGAAAGCAAACCAGGAATAGCTGGTCATCAAAAAGCCAAGTGAAGAAAGTGTTTCTAGAAGGAGAGAGTAATCGATTGTACCTACTGCCGTTGAAAAATAAGGTGAAAACTCAGGACCATTGGATTTGGCCCAATGGAGGTGGCTGGTGGTTTCAGGGGAGGAGTGGTACTGAAAGCCAAGCTGGAAAGGGTTCAAGGGAGAATACAGAATGCGGTAAGTGGACACAGCAGCAAATACTGGCAGCTCCTTCCAGGCATTTTGCTATAAACGTGAGCAGATAAATGGAGCAGTAGCTAAAGGGAAAATGGGGAGCATAGGGAAGGCTTCTTGGGGTTAGGTGGCAGTTTATAACGCATTTATAATATGCTGAATTAATGATTTTGCATAATCTAAATTTTCTTCATCTTCTGAAAAAAATAAAATTAGTTTGATAATTAATGTTCAAAACATGCATTTCTGTTCTGCACACATTTAATCCATGTTTTGTTTTGCAAGAAGCAGGATAGGTTACACATCGTTGTCTACACTTGGTTCAGCCAGTCAGTCAGCCTCAGCAATGAGTGTTCCAGGTTACTTTTCAGTTGCTATAGCCTGCAATTTTGCTATCCCTAACACTGTAAGTGTTAGGAACTTGCAGAGGGAACTTGCTTTTTTCTTCATGAAAATTTAGTCTAGATGCTCCTAGGTGGGCAATGGAGGGGGAAACGTCCACATGGAGAGTAGTAACTAGACCTCACGGGACAACATCTACCTTCTTTGAGATTTCTCCCTGCCACCACCACTATCCAATACTTTTGGTGTTGAGGGACAGTGCCTTGCTTAACTTCCTCTACATAGCTGAGATCATGTTGGAACATTTAAACGAAGTTTCATGGAGAATTTGGGGGTTACAACATGGAAATGGCCACACAATACAATATAGAGAATCTGGTTTACAAAACATAACTCACTCATCTCTGGTTCAGGTGCTCCTACAAAGATGACTGCGTGACCTGTAGTCCACTTCTGTGAGGCAGAGGTTATCTGTAACCCCTGCCCACTGTGGAGGGAGAGAGAGAAGAAAGAAAAGGGGTAGGGGGAGAGAGAGGGTGAGAGAGGTAGGTTCTCACACCCACCTAGTCCTCTTTAAGAACGCACCACTTTCTCAGGTGATTAACATTAGTAAGGTCTATTCATTTCAGGACTTAAGTATAGTCTTATTCTGTGGCCTTAATTAGTCTTATTCTGTGGCCTACATAAGATTTTAACACAGTAAACCCAACATCCATATAAGACACACACACATACACACACACACCCCAGATACAGAAGAGAAGAGGGATTTTGTTATGCTCTCATGATTGCAGATACCACTGGGACCTGGGATCTCCAAGTGGGAGCCGAATTCACTTCATAAGATACCTAGGTCTGTGATAGCCAGGGGCCAGTCGGGGCAAGAAGGAAGGGATGAAAATAAACCCTTGGGGACTGCTCTGCACTTTCACTAGTCATTTGTTCAGCCCTAGTGTAATCCCGTAGGCAGCAACCTCAGAGCCGATTTACCCCACAGAACGTCCCGCGCTAAGGAAACCAAGAACAAAATGTTACAGGAGCTCGTTTAATCTGCACAAGGAGATGCTTTTATCCAGTGATGCGTTTAGGGAACCATCAGTGTCACCTAAGCACTCTTAAAGCTGTGTGTGTGTCTAGTGGTGATGGAAAGGGGTGCTTCTCATCTGCTTCTCCTTATTGTCAAAAACCTTAGTAAAAACCTCAGAATCTCTTCAACACCAGATAAAAGGGAAACTGTGAGGCTTTTTCTGAAAGTGAGTTGAAGAACAAACTGTTTTGAGGCAAGGCAGCAAGTAAACAGAAAGGGAAGCAGGCCAGTGGGAGGTTGGGGCTGCAGCCGCAGAGGGAATGGTCCTAAACAGCAGATACCTCCTTCAGGGACCGGGAGCTAAGAGATTCTGCTTTGCTTTCCCACCTGGCAATATGACTTTCAGAGCTGCAGCCAAATGGGGTACATCCCAGGTCCCACAAGTCAAGGCTCTGAATACCGTTCTTTAAAAAAAAAAATCATCAAATATAGTGGCTCATTATTAGCTTAGAGCATTACGTATCACTACTGGTACTATGGTATTTTGAGGCATGATACCGTGTTTGTGGGCCAGCTAAAAGCCTAATCACCATGTACATCATTGTTTCTATTGGGAGATGCATTCCAAGTCCCAAACAAATGATCTAAATGAGGTTTTGGGGGAAAATACTGTTAACGGGGGTAACTTTTTTCCAAAAAGGTAAAATTTCAAGTTTCTACTTTGCAGTATATAGCTTACTTTAAAAGCTTAAGCCTTTCCAGAGAGAAATAGCAATTATTATAAACCAGGTGATGACAGACTATTGACAAGCCTGACAGTTTTGATTAAAAACAATGAAACACATTCATCTAGTCTTTATTTCTTCATATTCAATTATTGTAAAACACAAATGCAATGTAAATAGCAAGGATAACTCAAATCTTCCTTAACCAAACTAACTCATGGTCAGCCTTGTAATACAGCAAGAACTTCCCTTTTCTTTTCTCTTTATTTCAATAGTTGTTGGGGAACTGGAGAAGTTCTTTAGTGGTGGTTTCTGAGATTTTGGTGCACCCATCACCTGAGCAGTGTACACTGCACCCAATGTGTAGTCTTCTATCTCTCACCCCTTTACATCCTTCCTCCCGAGCCCCCAAAATCCATGATATCATTCTTATGCCTTTGCATCCTCATAGCCCCCACGAACTCCCCTTTTTAATATGTGGTCAGCACATGTCCTATGCATGGGATATAAAACAGCATAAAACATTCTTTTCCTTGAATAATTCAGTCTTCTGGGAAAGGAAATGGGAAATCCTTAAATAGAGGTAGCTGCTTAATAAAACCTGATGTATTTTCGCACTGATTATAAAAAGCAAAATACTTACCTAAAAGACAAAGGCCATTTAATAACTTTCTTGATTTCCTACTTATAGTAATGGTGTTCTCAAAAGCAAAAATTCAGTCACTTTGGGCTAAGAATTACAATTTTACATAAAAGAGAAATAGAGATTATCTAAATCTGAAGCCATGCCAGTAATTGTCATAAGTAACACAAACAGTCCATAGACATATCTATATATGGATGTTAAAAATTCCCATAATCTTAACTTCCAAGCCAAGATCTTCATCTCTATCCCTGCCCTGTCTAGACTAGAAATTGCTATTTTCAGCTACTTTCTAAAAAAAAAATCCTAATGCAGGCTAATAATTTCCTCAACCTATCAGTCATACATCTGAGTCCACAGAGTAACCTTCCTGTAACACTTTCATCGTGCCACTTACAGTAAGAGTCCCATTACCTACAGGATAAGCACAAATTATTAAAGTTGGAAATGATGTGAAAACCATCTATGTGATGTGTTTAAAGTCTCTGTACAAATTTAGTGATGGAAGCATGACCAAAATGCAAGTCTTCTCTCATTTCCAATTTCCAGTGCACTTTCCAATTTCCAGACTGATCCACTACTGCTTCAACATCAAAGAAGTCTATGGATTATTGTCTAAATTTCCCAAAAGTATGTCCACCTGTGTTTTTGATAAACAAGGGCAGAAACCAAGCTTTAGTCAGCTTCTTAGCCCTAGTTCCTGGAACACAGGTGCTTACTGAACTAGACTGAGCTGGAAAGATTCTGCCATCCTTTTCATAACGCAAATCCTATTGCATTCAAGTTTTATCTTTACTACAAATGATTCCCTGACCACAACTCACAAAGACAGTTCCTACTTGGGACTCACTTATTTTAGTCATACGCTGCCTGCTTAGCATATCATAGTCTTTGATGTGGTATTATGTAACGTTACGGTCTTGGTTTTCTACTTTATTGTTACATGTGCACAACTCAATTATAAATTCCTTTAAGATAGAGTGCTATTTCTGACTATCTGCCTTTTGGAATATAATCCTGACACAGAACAATGCTCATATGTTTATTAAATCCTACTCTGGCTTCCATGCTAGGTGGGGAAAAAAATACTGACAACTAGCTCTTAAATTTCTATTTTCGACCAATTGCTATATTTTTGTGCCTTTAAACATTAACTTAAAAATTATAACTGCCTTAATTTGGAGGAATGAACCAAGAGTTTTTTTCTTTTCTTTTCTTCCTTTTTTTTTTTTTTTTTTGGAGGTGGAGTCTCGCTCTGTCACCCAGCCTGGAGTGTAATGGCACGATCTCGGTTCACTGCAACCTCCCACCTCCTGGGTTCAAGCGATTCTCCTGCCTCAGCCTCTTGAGTAGTTGGGACTACAGGTGCGCGCCACCATGCCCAACTAACTCTTTTTTGGTATTTTTAGTAGAGACAGGGTTTCGCCACATTGGCCAGGTTGGAACTCCTGACCTCAAGTGATCCACCTGCCTCGGCCTCCCAAACCGCTGGGACTACACGCGTGAGCCACAGCGCCTGGCCAAGTTTTTCAAAACCCATATAAAAACATTATTAGGAATGTTCTGTTTCTTAATTTGGCTTTGGTTATACAAGGTGTAACTTAATGATTTTTGTACCATTCTATACTTCAACATAGCCCAAATATAAAGGGATTTTTACTCTACTTTTATTGCTAATAAAACAGCACATCACTTACATAATGGAAGACTGTATGTTTATGACATGAAGAAAGCGAGAAAAAAATACAATTCTCCTAAAAATACAGCAATCCTAAAAAAAAAAAAATACAGCATTCCTAACCATCATGGAACTCATAGGCTTTTCCTACATTTTGGTATTTTTATTCAGCTATATAACTTACATTTATTATCTCCTAAATATCTTTGTCCATAGATGGTATGCACCCATCCACATAAAACTGTTCAGGGGGGGAAAACATGTTATCACAGTGACACCTGCTGGTGTTCAGCTATACATTTTATATTCTAAGTGAAGGACAGATTTTTTGGTGTCAAAATTTTTCTTAATAAAATTTAATATTAATGTTTCCCACTTAAATAACTTGTATAATTGTTAAAACCAAATCTCTGTAATACACAACTGGCCACCTAAGATTTTTATTTTGTGACAATTATCTTACTGTAATTTTATTAACTATTTTCTTTAAAAAGACACTTTCCAAACAAAGCAGCTTAAGTATTCAGATGACATGAAGTTTTTTAAAAAGTGAATTAACTTGTGGTTTTCTTTTCAAATTCTCTATAAATTCTATTTTAAGGGAAACTATTACATTAAATCAACATTTACAGAATATTTTCTCTGAATGATAAATGTTAGCAATATAAACAATTTCACAAAAGTCAAAAATCAGGTCTATGTAGAGAAAATTTTAAGCACAACACAGATAACCTCGTACACTGACTTCTATTATGGTAAAACCTCACACTCATAAATGGTGATAATACTTGCAATGGAGGCTAACTTTCAATGCCTGCCAGGTCTCAACCAAACTTTTCTTTTTTAAAGTTAAAAGGGGAAAACAATTGCTCCAAGGAATGATGGAATGCACATATCCTCATTCATTTCAAGTTTTAAAAAAATACAGTACTGACCACATGGTCTGCAGAGTGGACCTGCTGGCCACAGGGCACTGACGCAAACGGCTGGATCTTGTGTACACACTCTCTCCTCTCTTGCTATCAGTAAATGCTGCACCACTTGAGCTTGGTGTTGTCTGTTCTAAATGTCCTTGAATCATGCACTGGCCTCTTCCCAGGGTGGCACTTTACTGGCCTCTTCCCAGGGTGGCACTTTCTATCTTAATCTTACCTACATTCATGTTATATTCTTTTTCTTTTTTCCTATTTTT
Organism: Homo sapiens; assembly: GCF_000001405.40. Classification (NCBI taxonomy): domain Eukaryota; kingdom Metazoa; phylum Chordata; class Mammalia; order Primates; family Hominidae; genus Homo; species Homo sapiens. The sequence goes on from NC_000006.12 coordinate 8,007,350, forward strand.
TTTTTAGAGACAAAGTCTCACCATGTTGCCCAGGCTGGTCTTGAATTCCTGGCCTCAAGTGATCCTCCTGCCCCAGCCTCCCAAAGTGCTGGGATTACAGGTGTGAGCCACTGTGCTTGGCTCCTTTTTTAAATTGATAAATAATTGTATATATTTATTAGGTACAATGTGATGGGTTGATATATGCATACATTGTGGAATGATCCAATCAGGCTAATTAACATATCTATCATCTCATGTTATATTTTAACCTATGGCAAAGCCTGACCACACAGCGAATGATGAAATAATAGTAAATACCTTTAATGATTCAGAATATTTTAGAGCAGAATTTCACATATTGACTTATTAATGTTTGTAGTACATCAGACTATCATTTTAGAAAGCGATGTAATGATAAAGAAAAATTTTTGGATCCATCTGTACTATGGATTTTCATGGTATCACTTATGGATTTTTTTAAAAACCATGAAAGTATTATTTAGTCTATCTGATGTGTTGTTGCTAGCTCAACATTGGGTGGGCAAAACACTATATTCCTTGTATTTCTGTGCTGTTTTGCTCTTCCTCTAAAAGAATATAATGGGTATTTCTTGGTTATAATGATGAAATAAGATTAAACTACATATAAGGCACTTAAAAAGTAGGCTCTAAGTTATGTTATACAAATATGAGTACTGTATTTACTTACCTTAAATTAATTTGGACTATTTCTTCAGAGATAATTTGAAGCTTGAGTTTTTGTGAGGATCAAATGTTAGCGTACTTACTAACTTACTGCTCTTTGAAGTGTATCACATCTGAAAATCCAAGTTTGTTTTCTCTTGCTTATGGAACATAAATAGGAAAATACCAGAGGAAATGCTGTTTTGCTATCATTGCCAGACCAGTCACAAGAAAGCATTATTTGTAGCAGTTAAGATTCAAAAATGAACAGAGGGCTGGGCACGGTGGTTTATGCCTATAATCCCAGCACTTTGGGAGGCCGAGGTGGGTGGATCACCTGAGGTCAGGTGTTTGAGACCAGCCTGGCGTTTAAGAAAGAACCAAACGACTCTTCTGAAAATAAAAATGTATAATAACTTTAACATGGTAAAACCTCATCTCTCCTAAAAATACAAAAATTAGCTGGGTGTGGAGGCAGGCACTTGTAATCCCAGCTACCTGGGAGGCTGAGGCAGGAGAATCGCTTGAATCCAGGAGGCGCAGGTTGCAGTGAGCCAAGGTTGCGCCATTGCACTCCAGCCTGGGCAACAAGAGCGAAACTCCGTCTCAAAAAAAAAAAAAGAAAAAAGAAAGAGCAGAATGAGGAAGAGCAGGCAGTAGGTGATACGCTATGACTGATTTCCATTCTCCATTCATTCTATGACCTTGATTTGCACCAAGTCAATAAAATATTAACATTTTATTGGGGTTGAAAATTATGAAATAATTACAAAACCTTTCTGAAAGTCTAAGAACAAACTACTAGAAAATATATCGTCTGTAATGGGAGCTTCAAATATTTTGACTGAATTAATGTTTAAAATATTTTTCTGGTATTTTTCATCCTGAGAGACTTACAGCCCCAAATGGCAAAAAATAAATAAATAAATAAATAAAAATAAAAAGCCTCCCGGGTACAATTTCAGGAAAGGCAGACATTATGCTAAATTCCAAAGCAATAAAACCCGCTACCTTTTCATTTGCAATGGCAACCAGAAAACCCATGCACAGTAGGAAACTGTTCAAACAGTACATGGAAATGTTCAGATACAAAGTTTATGTATTATAAAAGCAAAGAAGAGAATTCACTATGTATCTTGGAGGCATCTGTGACTCCTCCAGATTTTCATGGCACTTTGGGTTTAATAGCACAGATCAAGCCCCCTCTATTTTCATGCCCATAATAGTAGCCTGAGACATTTTCACAAAGCACAATAATGTCCTAAAGATTAAAAATTCCAAAATCAGGTATTCAGGTAAGAGTTACGCAGGTTTAGAACACTACTGAACTCTTATTTGCCTTCATTAGCTCATAAACAGTAAAAGATCAATCCAATAGAAGCAATAGAGACAATCATATTAGTTCATGGATAACAGGAAATAATCTAATATAAAAGATTTAGTGTAATATTGAAAAAGTAAAAAGGTATCGTTTACACTAGAATATGGGCGTGTTCTTTTTTGGAGAATATGATAAAATCACCATGTACTTGTATAACATGCCATTTCTGTACAGAGAAATCTGTCTGGCCACTGAACACCAGAAATGCTAGAAAAAAATTTAAACTTTATTTATTATTCTTGACTGAATTTATGGCAAATTAGTGAAAACAACTGAAGGCAGCTCAGGAGACTGGGACATTCTATAGGGTAATTCAGCTCTGGATAACTGCCCTAAAGGCATCCCCATCCCTGCAGCCTAGGAAGGCCCCAGTTGTTAGGAGCCATACCTGCGTGAGGGACAGGAATCAAAGTGAGGGACTTTCTCAGTCTTCTCCACCTGCCATAACAAAATACCACAAGCTTGGTGGCTTAAATAAAAATTAATTTTCTTAAAGATGTGCTGGCAAGAAGTCTAAGGCCAAGGTCCTGAAAAATGTGGTTCCTATGAGGCGCCTCTTCCTGGCTTGCAGATGGCTGCCTTCCTGCTGTGATCTCAGGACTTTTCCTCTATGTGCAGGAAGAGCTCTGGGGTCTCTCTTCTCCGCCCTATGACCTCATTTAACCTTAATTACCTCTTTAAAGGCCCTGTCTCCAAATACCGTCACAATGTGGTTACAGCTTTACTTGATGAATTCAGGGGAGACAAAATTCAGTCCATAACAGGGACTGAGCTGGATGAGCAGGAGGACTTGTAAAGCCTCAGAGGACACTGTCCTCAGGAGTGAACTAGGAAAACACCTAAATTTACCCTTCTTCATTATTCAAGAAGAGATATAAAGGAAGAAAAACGTCTCCTCTGGGAATGCCTCAACGAAGCCAACAGTCACAGGTGTTTAGGGCTGAAATCCACATTTTGTGAGTGCGTATACATACACACATGTGTGTGTGGGTGCAAAAGCTTAAGGAGTAGAAAAGGGAGAGACAGGGAATCCAAGATGAAAACTGATTTTGAAGTGGTCTGTGGTTTGTAGTGTCACAATAAACAAATTGGTGCTGCAGGGAAAAAAAATCTTCTCTGTAGGACTATATTTGAAATTAAAAAAAAAAATCTCCCAAAAGAAAGTTCAGAGGAATGCAAACTTAAAATAAAAAATGACTGATCACATTAGGAAACTCGTCACCATAAACTTGTTTCAGCAAAAACAAGCAACAAACTATAAATCTGGATCCACAAAAAATACTGAAATTACCACGTACAGAATGTAAAATAAGTACTTTTAATATGTTTAAAGAAAAGAAAAAGAAGGAATAATGGAACCATCCCAGACAACCCAGGAAAGTTTAAGAAAGAACCAAACAACTCTTTTGAAAATAAAAAAAATAATAACTATAATTAACAACAGATGGGTAAAATAGGTTAGAGATAGAGTGAAGACAGTATTAATGAAATAGATTTAAAGAAATTATCCAGAATTCAACACCTAGAGACAGAGAGATGGGAAATATAAAACAGGGATTAAGAGATATGGAGAGGACAGTGAGATCATAAAACAGAAGTCTTAATTTTATTTCCTAAAGGAGAGAATAGAGAGAATGAGGGAGATACAATATTCAAAGAGACAGTAGCTGGGAATTTTTCAGAATTTATGAAAAGTACCAATTCTCAGATTCAGGAATCTCAATCAATCCCAACAGGACAATGAAAAGAAATATACAGCTAAACATACTGTAGCATGGCCACATTTGACTGTAGAACACCAAAGATAAAGATCTTAAATATGACCTGAGAAAGAAGGCAGATTAGCTACAAATACTGATCAGACTGACAACTGTCATTTCAGAAGCAGCAATGGAAGCAAGAAGACAGTAGAATATTATTTGAGAAAACAGCTGTCAACCTATAATCGTATACCTAGCTAACTTTCAAGGATAATAAAATAGCAAACTTCTAGGTAAATCTACATAAACACTGACTATACAAAATAACTACTTTTGTAGTAAAATCGAGATAGAACTAGAATTCTAGACAACAATTTGTAAGTTGAAGAGATAAATCAGACTTTGTACAAAAATCTCTAAAGAATAGGAAGAGAGTAAAGATGTTAATTTTAGATTCTGTTAACTACGCAAGTTAAATTTCCTACTAAGCACTTCATTAAAAGTTAATTTTTACATATAAATAAAATACATATCAAAACTGATTTGGAAACTGGGAAATGTTTAACTTTGAAAGCAGCAGAAGAAAAGTAGATGGAAAAATGAAACAAAACAAACTCAAGCTGAAAGAAGTCAAGAAACAGAAAAGGTGGGACAAAAAGCACAAAATAAGATGATACAAATAAATCTTAATATATCAGTAACTTTGACAAATGTAAATGGATTGAACTCCTTAGTTGACAAATGATCAGAAAGAAAGAAAAACATCCAGCCACACAGTTTTTTTTTTTTTTAAGACAGAGTCTCGCTCTGTAACCAAGGCTGGAGTGCAGTGGCGCAATCTCGGCTCACTGCAACCTCTGCCTCCTGGGCTCAAGCAATTCTCCTGCCTCAGCCTCCTGAGTAGCTGGGACTACAGGTGCACACCACCACGCCCAGCTAATTTTTGTATTTTTAGTAGAGATGGGATTTCACCATGTTGGCCAGGATGGTCTCAATCTCCTGACCTCGTGATCTGCCCGCCTCGCCCTCCCAAAGTGCTGGGATTACAGGCGTGAGCCACCGTCCCCGGCCCCAGTCACACAGTTTTTAAAGGGCATATCTAAAACATAACAGCAAGGTTTAACAGAAGGATGAAAAAAGATATATCCTATAAATCCAGCTAGCTGGCATAATCCATATAAATATAATATATAGTTTATGTATTTTTATATTTATGTATATATTTATAATTATTTATTTATAACAAGACTTCAAAATATATAAAAATATATAAAACTAAAATTGACAGAATTACAGGGAGAAATTGGTAAGTTCACTAGAATAGAAAATTTCAACACATCTCAGAGTCTGAGAGATCAAGTAGAAGACAAAAGAATAGTAAAATGGAAAAAATTTGAACTACAAAATTAACAACTTTGGTCTAATGGACATCCAACAACTAAAAAACAAGCATACTTTTCAAGCAATCATGAAACATTTACAAAAACAGGTTATAATCTAGGTCATAAAGCAAATCTCAACAAATATTAACAGATCAGTCTTAACATGTACCTATTTTCTGTCCACAATTCAAATTCAATTAAAACAGGAATCAATAAACACAGAATTTAAAAATATACACGCTAGGAAATGGGAAAAAAAAGCCTCATACATATGTTAGTCGAGAAAGAAATCATAATTAAAAATTAAAAATACATAGAACTTAACAAATCTTTCTATGGTGCTTTAAAATTATAAAACATTATTTCATTTGATCATTGCAATAATCCTATGAGCTACATAGAACCCACAATATCTCTGCTCAACAGCACAAACACAGCAGAAATGTTACAAACTGGCTAGGCACAGTGGCTCATGCCTGTAATCCCAGCACTTTGGGAGGCTGAAGTGGGCAGATCACTTGAGGTCAAGAGTTCGAGACCAGCCTGGCCAACATGGTGAAACCCCTTCTCTACTAAAAATATAAAAATTAGCTGGGCATGGTTGTACATGCCTGTAATATCAGCTACTCAGGAGGCTGAGGAACAAGAATTGCTTGAACCCAGGAGGCAAAGTTTGCAGTGAGCCGAGATCGCGCCACTGCACTCCAGCCTGGGTGACACAGTGAGACTCTGTCGCGCAAAAAAAAAAAAAAAAAAGGAAAGAAATGTTACAAATTATGTAGTTATTAAAATTGTTTTTTACATATAAATAAAATATATATAAAAAGTGATTTGGCAACTAGGAAACAGAAGCAAAAGCGTTCACCACTAAAAATATCAAAAGGAAGGTAAATAAACCAACTCTTATAGAAGCTATGTCGAATATCAAAAGGAAGGTAAATAAACCAACTCTTATAGAAGCTATGTTGAATAGTTAAAAATGTTACAAGAAACAATTGAGTATCTTAATGTCTAAAGCTCAAAAAGCCCATCAATTCATTTTGGTTTAGGAAGTCCCTTAGGTATTTATGGAATAATAAACAAACTTATAGGGTAAAGTATTTATTATTCACATGAGATGAACACAAACTATCAGAAATCTTTGCTATACAAGTTGGGTAGCCACAGTTAAGAATATATTCCCTTCACACACACAATCTTAATTTCTTGGTTACAGCATTCGTTCAATGATGTGTTGGCAATTAATCGCATTCCAAAAAGTGTCTACGGTACAAAGGGAATTTTCATTTAAGGCTCCCCTCCCTTTTCATGTGTGGGATATTTTTGGAAGTATTTCTTTTTCCATCCACTGAATTAAGAAAATTCCAACATGCCTTGGTGTCAGCAAGTGCGCTTTTTAGTCCAGGTACCAGCAAATGATTGATGAGCCTGTCAAGCCTACAGTAGCGGATAGAGAAAGTTGGCAGAAGTTCAGTGTTATTGAAAAAAATCTCAAATACTTATTTCATCTCCTCTATTAACTTTAATCACATTTTCAACATGCAGCCAAGAATGAAGCTTTGACAGTAAGCCATACATTTACACAGGCAGGCATTGTCAATTTTCTGCAGTCGCCACACTGAGATAACACAAGAGAGCTGGATATTTTCTTTCTTGTGCCTTTCTTTACTAAAGAGCAATAAAAAATATGTGAAAGATTTATCCATACCTCAAATTTGTTTACCATAAATCTCGAAATTATTGCATTTACTTTTGCTTGGTTTATGGCAAATAAAAAATCAACTTAGTTCTTCAGTTAGATTTTTTTTTTGTTGAGATGGAGTCTCACTCTGTCACCCAAGCTGGAGTGCAGTGGTGCCATCTCAGCTCACCGCAACCTCCGCCTCCTGAGTTCAGGTGATTCTCGTGCCTCAGACTCCTGAGTAGCTGGGATTACAAGCGTGCACCAACATGCCGGGCTAATTTTTGTATTTTTAGTAGAGACGGGGTTTCACCATGTTGGCCAGGCTAGGCTTGAACTCCTGACTTCAAATGATCCGCCTGCCTCGGCCTCCCAAAGTGTTGAGATTACAGGTGTGAGCCACTGCACCCAGCCTCAAATTAGACTGTTAAATGCAGGTTTTTAAAGATCACAGTGATGACAGAACTGGTACATGTTTCATCATAATATACCTGCTTATGAGAACAGACATTAACACTAAAAAGGATTTACATTTAACATGGACCATTTGCTGTGTGGGCAAACACTTCTGGTTCATTCAAAGCCAGGAACTTTATATGGTTCCAGAGGGACTCTCTGGCAGATTTTGTTGATTACTCATTAAACAGTCGAAACATGTATAGACATTATTTATCTTATAAAGCTTACCCACAGCAAAACAGACACAAAAATGAGGTAAATACTATGGGCAAGATTATAGCTCTTGGAAAAACTAAATGTCAAAATATATTTTTGGTAAGCTTTTCCTTCTAAGCATGCTTTAAAAAGCTGAAAATAGTAAGTGCTGGAAGGCCACAAAACTTAACATGTGTCTTCCCATCCACGGAAGCCCATGGCATTATGCTGCACTGTAAAATATGCAACGCTTCCCAAGAGGCAGCTCAAACACCAGCGTGGCCATCTTTGCCACAGCAGAGACAATGTGTTCACTCTCACCTCTCTGAAATGTGATCTCTGCTCCAAGGACAGCTGGCTTTTTTTTTTGTCTACATTACTCATGCAGTAACACTTTATACATCCTTCCAACAGCCAAGGAGGCTATGACAGGTAGCTTCTATACCTTCCCATTAAGCCACAATAATAAACTATTGTTAACCCTGTATAGAAATGAATGAAATTATCTTTCTAAGAAGTCTATACCTACAGTTCTCTGAGCTAATCAATGGAAAAGATGATCAATTCTGACTAACAAAGAGTATATTGATTCCATTTTCCTTCCTACTCCTCTTCATTCAAATAATCATATATAGGCACTTAAAGCTGGAAAAATGTGGCACCCTTCTTTAAATATCCAATCAGAATGCCAGTAGAAACTTCTTTCTTCTGATATAAGAGTGCCACTGAATATATTGCTAAGCTTGAAGCAGAGGCTAAACGGTCTGGTGGGAATAGTTTTCAGGAGAGAGGTGAACATCTTCTCATTAGTTTGTGATTGTTGTGGTTCAAGTTCTTAAAAGGTTGAAAATTTCGCTAGGTCCTTCTCCATCTCAGCATATTGTTCTTTAAGCCTTTCCATGGCTTTTCTGTGCTCTTCATCCACTTCAGCCCTTTTGTTGGGTTGCTCCTTCATGAAGTTGTCCCACTGGAGCATATGCTGTTTCTCACTAGCTACTAAGTGGTCACTATGAATCTGAGAAAAGAAAATTAGAAAGTCACACGACATTTTCCAGACAATTATTTCATAACGTTATCTCTTGATACTTGGTTACCGTAACAATCAGCTGGTAAGTCACAAGGAAAAAGTTGTGTTATAATATCCAAAAAAAGATGACACATTAGAAACATCTAAGGCTTCTCTCATTAAAATTAAACATGGATATTCTCATTTCTTAAATTTTAAAAGTGGGCTGGGCACAGTGGCTAATGCCTGTAATCCCAGCATTCTGGGAGGCCGAAGCCGGTGGATCACCTCAAGTAAGGAGTTTGAGACCAGCCTGGCCAACATGGCAAAACTCCGTCTCTACTAAAAATACAAAAATTAGCTGGGCGTGGTGGCACATGGCTGTAGTTCCAGCTACTCGGGAGGCTGAGGTGGAAGAATCGCCTGAACCCAGAAGGCAGAGGTTGCAGTGAGCTGAGATGGCACCACTGCACTCTAGCCTGGGTGACAGAGTGAGACTCCGTCTCAAAAAAAAAAAAATTTTTTTTAAAGCGTCTAGTATCTTCACATGATAAAATCAAACACAATCCAAGTATTTTTTCATATTTCTATTTCTCCTCAAATCCCATTTCACTGCAGATATTTTAAAACCAATTTTAAAAAAATATATGCTAAAAGAATCATTGCTGTAAGAAATCAAAATGTCTTACATAAAATATTTTTAAGTGCATTAGAAAGAATCATAAATTATTAGTCACTAGAAGAGAACTCGAGAAATCTCTTCTGGGATGGGCAGAGTGGCTCGCACCTGTAATCCCAGCATTTTGGGAAGCTGAGGCGGGCAGATCACCTGAGGTCAGGAGTTCAAGTCCAGTCTGGCCAACATGGCAGAACCCCGTCTCTACTAAAAATATAAAAATTAGCCGGTGTGGTGGCGTGCACCTGTGATCCCAGGGCCTGTGATCCCAGCTACTCGGGAAACTGAGGCGGAAGAACTGCTTGAACCCAGGAGACAGAGGTTGCAGTGAGATGAGCACGCCATTGCACTCCAGCCTGGGTGACAGTGATACTCTATCTCAAAAAAAAAAAAAAAAAAAGAAATCTCCTCTGGGTCAGTTCTAGTCCTTAAAGCAAATCAACATCTCAAACATCTGTGTCAAATGTCTCAGTTCTTGAGATGTTCCTTAATATTGCTATATAAGGATGAAAGGTTTTTTCTTTTTCTTTCTAGCACCACAGTAATATAGATAAAATGCTGTATAAATAAAAAAGGTATGAATTTAGTTTTCTCCCCCCTTCCAAAGTACAATTTCAATGATTAACTTTGAATACGTACAATAAAAATCTAAATAGAGTATGAAAAAATAACTTTATATCCCTATTTCAACTATTCTACATGTATGTCATTAGCAGTTAAGTTTTGATACAGATTAGGTTCTATTAAACAAACAAAAACTGGGATATGCAAACTAGAAAAACCTAGAAGTTCGAATTGCTTGAACCTGAGAGGCGGAGGTTGCAGTGAGCCGAGACTGCACCACTGAACTCCAGCCTGGGTAACAGAGCGAGACTCCGTCTCAAAAACAAACACACACACACACACACACACCTACAAAGCACCCGAAGTCACTGTTAATTTTGGCATGTTAATTCCAGCACTTGAATGAAAAAGGGACACGCAGCGTACTCAGATGCTGGTTAACTCAGATGTCAGCCACCAGAAAAACAGCTACTAGGAAAAAGAGACCATCTTCAGGCTGTTCATCACGTTCTTCCTGTTCTATTTTCTCTCTCATTTGGGTCAGGATGACAAACAGGATGAAGGGCTGAATAAGCCAATGTGCTCTAAGTACCCATGAAATGCAAACTTCTGCTAGTTGTTTTGCATAGCTACTTCTAAAAGCCTCTCCTTTAAGACGACATTATTCTCATTTTACAGACAAAGAAATTAAGGCTTAAGGACACTTTTATCCTCCATGGTCACTCACCTAATAGCTTGGTTGTAGATTCAAATTTAGGTCTTTCTGACACCCAAACCTACGCCTTTTCTATCACAGAGTGCAAATCAGATCTTTCCAGAGGAAGTTTTACGTAGGTAGCTAAAAATCCCTTTCACAAGACAAACGGTCTTCTGAGAGTCTTTTTGCTAGGCTGATCTGAAGCTCCCCAGCACCAAGACTGTTCAACTTCAGACTCACGTCAACTTCTTTCCAATTGAAAATTCTTGGTCGAACATTCTTCTAAAATGTCAGTCAAACTTTGCTCTAAAATATGTCCTACGGACACTTGGGATCTGAACAGATATTACAGTGGTAGGGAGAGAGGATTAGGGAGGAGTTTACTCATCCAATAAATTGGTTAAACAGGTTAAACAAAATCCAATGCGTTACTTTTTAACTTTTCAGCCTTATAGATTAGAACTCTCCAAAAGATGCATGAAGAGTTTATTAAATCTTCTGATGGAACTTTTGCAAAAACTGTTACAGTCTAAGAGAAAAGCCACAGTCAGACTAGAAAAAGAAAAAATGCAGATAAACTTCATCAAAATGATATTTAGCTTTAGTTGTGTTTTAATAAATACAGAGAATGTTAAACATGCATACTCAGATGTTATTTAATTTGTTCATTTCTTTGTAAATGGAAAGTCATCATTGGCTCAGCTGACCTTGTGATGTGGATCACCAGGCAACAGCCCGTGTTCCCCTTCCCAACCAGAACGCATTTTATCCAGTACAGCCCAATAAAGAAAAACGGAGCTTTGGCAGGCATACCAACCTCGCTTCAAATTCTGGTCTACCTGTCACTAGTTGCATGATGCTGAGCAACTTAAAGTTTCTTTAACTTTAAAATGAGGAAAATAAATACTCCGCATCCATAAATAATATTTATAAAGACTACAGGTAGAACATGTCAAGTTCCTAGCTCAGTGCCTGAGGAACTTAATAAAAGGTAAATATTATACAAATCACAAGCGAAGCATCTAGAAGGCAGATCACTCCACTTTTATCCCCTTGCCATTTCAGTTTCTGTTCTTTAATTTTAATAATTTACTTTTAGCAACAGATTATTGTAATAATTCAAACAATAGAGACAACTCAAGAGCAAGAGACTTTCCCCTCCATTCCTAGATTCAATTTAATCCTGGATGTAACCATTATTAACCATTTGGCTACAAGAACAGTCTTTAAGACGCTGCAATATATTAGTGAATAAGATACTGCCAAAGATCAGTATTTCTATTGTGTAGTTTCAGAATATTATGAATAAAGACAAACATATTCAAGTAGCCTGTTCACATCAGGCATATCGCTTATTGGCCTTGTAGGCCGAGTGAAAATAAGCTAAAAGATGACAACTTCCAAATCCAAATAAAAATCTAGTTTTGCTCCCTTATCAAGAAGTTCTTACAGTCACTCCACGCTATCGTTTCCTAGTTTCCCACTTGTAATAGTAACTGCTAGGCATTCTTACTTTTTTTTTTTTTTTTGAGATGGAGTTTCCCTCCTGTTGCCCAGGCTGGAGTGCAATGGCACAATCTTAGCTCACTGCAACCTCTGCCTCCCGGGTTCAAGCAATTCTCATGCCTCAGCCTCTCAAGTAGCTGGGATTACAGGCAACCACCACCACACCTGGACAATTTTTGTATTTTTAGTAAAGACAAGGTTTCACCACACTGGCCAGGCTGGTCTTGAACTCCTGACCTCAGGTGATCCGCCCACCTCCGCCTCCCAAAGTGCTGGGATTACAGGCATGAGCCACCGGCGCCCGGCCCATTCTTACATTCTTTACAACAATCAGTAAAGAAAAAAGGGGGGGGGGGCGCCTATACATTCATGTATTGACAATACTGCAGTCTTTACATACAAATAAAACCCAGCTACCTGGAAATAACATTTATCTGAACCTTAGTTGAGAATGTGCTAAGACCTTTAAGTCATGCAAACGAAGAAGATGCTACAAAGTCCATTTACAAATACTGCACATGAAAAGCCCTTCTGATTCCGAGCCTACTTGACCTACATTACATACAATTCTAACCAGCTTAGTTAACTGGTTTCTAAGACGACACCCTATGAAAAAGTCACAAGTTAGAAAATGAAAAGGCTGATAATAAGGGAAGAATAACAGGCATCAGCCTTATAGCAAAAGAGGAGGCAGATACAAAAACTTAAAACACACAGTATCTGAGGGCAGTTGGTACAGAAACATAGCACAGTGTCTCTCTTTCTCATTCCCTAATGACATCACCATATTCACCATAATATAAAATCTGATATTCTCAGTAACGCCTGATTCCTACAAAATTATTCTGTAACATTTAATAAATTTTTTAAATAACATAAAAGTATAGAATATCTTTTTAAAGATTTCCATCCAAAGTAATCAAAGTCATGGTGACAGAAGACAAGAAGACCCTTCGAGACATGGAGACCTACAACATCTCCATTAAGGAGATGCCCCTCAATACTGCTGACCTCGTCTGAGAGGCTGTTCTGCTACCTGGCCCCAGCTAGGGGCAGAGGAGCAGCAGGTGTGGGGGTATGGCATGGACATCTTGTCGCTTTTTTCTCTGAACAAATACCACTTTCTAAGGCAAAAGAAGTTAACTGTGAACATGTCAGACACCCTTTTCTTTGGGGTAGGCTCTTGCCCTAGGGGCCAGTTCTTCTCCCCCAAAACACTAATTCATTTCCCTAAGCTAGTTACCTCCAGATTCCAGAGGCTCTCCCCACCCCAGCTGAGTTTCTCTGGAAATCATTCAAGGGACTATGTCACTCAACTTCATTTGCTGGAACAAATCTGGAGGGAGAGCCCCTAAAACTTCTGAGTGAGGCTGCCCAGCAGATTGTACCCATGTAGGGGAAGCAGAGGAGAGAAAATGGTAGCCATTTTTACACTGGCATTGTTTTGTATAGTATTTATTGATTCAAGAAACATAAAATTCTGAATAAAATGACTTGGAAACTGCCCTTTAAAAATAAAGAAATTAGAAAAACAACAAAAAAAGTGGCTAAAGTTATAAGAGCATTGTGCTTAAAGAAGATGAAAACCTTGGCTTTTACATAGAATTACCATACAAAGCAGCAATTCTACTGTTGGGCATATATCCAAAAAAATTAAAAGTAGGAACCTGAACAGCTATTTGTACACCCATGTTTACAGCAATGTTATGCATAATAGCCAAAGGTGGGAGAACCTAAACGTCCATAGACAGATGAACAGATAAACAGAATACAGTCTACACATACAATGGAATATTATTCAGCCTTAAAAAAGAAGAAAATTCTGACACATGCTACGGCATGGACGAATCTCGATGACATTACACTAAAGAAACAGGCCAGTCAGAAAAGAGACAAATGTTATATGAGTCTACTTACACGATGAACCTAGAGCAGTCAAATTCATAGAGCTGGAAAGTAGAATGGTGGTTTCCAGGGGTGGAGAGAAAGGGGAATGAGGAGTTACCGTTTACTGGGTACAGAGTTTCAGTTTTGCAATATGAACGAGTTCTGTGGGCCGGGTGCGGTGGCTCACGCCTGTAATTCCAGCACTTTGGGAAGCTGAGGTGGGTGGATCACCTGAGGTCAGGAGTTCGAGACCAGCCTGGCCAACATGGCGAAACCCTGTCTTTACTGAAAATACAAAAATTAGCTGGGCATGATGGCGGGCACCTGTTGTCCCAGCTACTCGGTAGGCTGAGGTGGGAGAATCCCTTGAACCTGGGAGGCAGAGGTTGCAGTGAGCCGAGATCGCACCACTGCACTCCACCCTGGGTGACAAAAGCAAAACTCCATCTCAAAAAAATAGTAATAAATAAATTTAGAAAAAAAAAGTTCCGTGGATGGATGGTGGTGATGGTTGAACAACAATGTGAATATAGATAATGCCACTGAAATGTACATTTTAAAATGGTTATGAAGGTAAATGTTATATTATATGAATTTTGCCACAATAAAAAAAATTTAAATCAAGTTTCAGTGGGCTCTTCTTAAATGAAATCAATTGCACTCTTCAAGATAAACTTAGAAAATACCAACTTTAAAAGAAAATGAAGAGAATTTATTAATAACCTATAACCACATACCAAAAGTAATGAACTATAATGGTGTTATCTCTTTCTACTTAGTAAAATGTATACATTAAGTTACAACAGAGAAAGAAATAATAAACCGGCACGCATGCAGGCACACACTCACTGCTCTCCACCAATTAAAGATAATTTGAAATAGAGATAATTTGAAATAGAAACCAATCCTGAAGATCGGCATCTAGAACCAGGTCTATAAAAGAAGTCTGGATTACAAAATAAAACCACACTTCTGCAGAGATTCGTCTAAGTCAGTGATTTTCAATGGGGGGCAGGGGAGGGCATTTTACACCCCTCTTCCCCAGGAGATTGTTGGTTATTATAACACAGGTTGTGGGGAGGTGCTACTGGCATCTAGTAGGCAGAGGTCAAGGATGCTGCTAAACATCCTGCAATGCACAGGACAGCACCCACAATAAGGAATTATCAGGTCCAAAGTGCCAACAGTGCTGAGGTTGAGAAAACCTGGTCTACGGGAAAACTCTGAAAAACCCAACTAAGGTGTAAAAGGTCTTTTAGAGCATCTGCCAGTAATATGCATGCCATTAATTTTATATATGCCTTACAGAGACATAGGAAAAACTATTTCCTTTGATAAGGAGTGTCAGTATAACAACTGCCAAAAATGATTTTATATAGAACAATATGTACCTATATGTTACTCTATTTTCAAACTCTATTTTTTTTTTCTTTTTTTTTTTTCTTTTTTTTTTGAGACGGAGTCTCGCTCTGTCGCCCAGGCTGGAGTGCAGTGGCGGGATCTCGGCTCACTGCAAGCTCCGCCTCCCGGGTTCACGCCATTCTCCTGCCTCAGCCTCCCAAGTAGCTGGGACTACAGGCGCCCGCCACTACGCCCGGCTAATTTTTTGTATTTTTAGTAGAGACGGGGTTTCACCGTTTTAGCCGGGATGGTCTCGATCTCCTGACCTCGTGATCCGCCCGCCTCGGCCTCCCAAAGTGCTGGGATTACAGGCGTGAGCCACCGCGCCCGGCCTCAAACTCTATTTAAAACAATGTACAAGCCATGTGAACTTGTTGCTCTCATGAAAGTAATCATAAAGACAGATAACTGGATCTAATAAATATTTGTGGACAAGGTGAATTAAAAGCATTCATATTTACTTCATAATTACTTCCAGTCTGGTTGAATAGGGCTTCAAAAGTTGACACCACCTGTGCATGAACCTAAATTTAAATTATTGACAGATATTATTAACCATCTCATCTCCACCGGTGGCATATTTTTAAGAGCCAGTGAATTTTATAAGGCAATAATATTTTCATTTCACTATTCCTATTGCTAATACCCAAAATGCAACTTTGTACTAGTGGTAGTTTTGAAGACATGTCAAATAACTAGGGAATGTGCATTTATTGTTCTTCTGAATGTACTTTTAGATATCAATTGTGGGAAATATGATTTGTATGAATGACGTTTATCAGTTTACTTCCTACAGAAATCCACAAATTGTCTTGACATAAAAGAATTAATGAACTCAAGACCAGCCTGACCAACATGGTGAAACCCCGTTTCTACTAAAAACACAAAAATTAGCCGTGTGTGGTGGCGTGCGCCTGTAATCCCAGCTACTTAGGAGGCTGAGGCAGGAGAATCACTTGAACCCGGGAGGCAGAGATTGCAGTGAGCTGAGATCGTGCCACTGCACTCCATCCTGGGTGACGGAGTGAGACTCCATCTCAAAAAAAAAAAAGAATTAATGAGTAATGGCAATAGTCTATTTTATCTCATTACTACTCCCATCTTTGTTCTGAGAACCTTTCAAATATACAAAATGTATGCAATAGTATAACCAAGGGCAACAATTAACATTAGGTTGTAAAATGCAGCTACAGGTCAGGTCTTTTGCTTTGTTTACATTGGCTAGATGAGAAATTAAACTTTACCTTTATGACATACGTGTGTGTGCGTGCACATGTGTATATGTGCACATGTGTATATGTGCACATGTGTATGTGTGGGGTTTGAAACCTCTGCCATGTCACAGATTCAGAAGAAGCTACATATGGCAGTAAAACAGAAAAAGAAAAAGAAAAAAGAAATAAAGACAGGACTAAAAGTTTATTGCTCCAATAAGAATGTAAAGAATTTTTACTTTGAGCAGAGAAGTGGATCTGTTTATGACTTTAAGTTGGTTAATTTATTAAATTATCTTCAGAAAAGAAAATTAGGGTAACAAATCTAAGTCTGCTTACAAACTTAAGTCTCACAGACTTACCAACTTCTGGTGAAACAACATTTCAGTATATTTTAAAATACTAATTTTTAATATATATTCTATAAAAATTAGTTTGAAAATATCCCCAGACATAATATCTATAAGAAATGTCCTTCAGGCCAGACACAGTGGCTCACGCCTGTAATCCCAGCACTTTGGGAGGCCGAGGCGGGTGGATCATCCGAGGTCAGGAGTTCGAGACCAGCCTGGCCAACATGGCAAATCCCTGTCTCTACTAAAAATACAAAAATTAGCTAGGATTATAGGTGTAATCCCAGCTACTTGGGAAGCTGAGGCAGGAGAATAGCTTGAACCTGGGAGGCAGCGATTGCAGTGAGCCACTGCACCACTGCCCTCCAGCCTGGGTGACGGAGTGAGACTCCATCTCAAAAAAAAAAAAAAAAAAAAAGAAATGTACTTCATATTAAATATTAAAATATTCTTATTTCTTGTGGCCACTGCTTTTTAAACCATGGGACAGACAGCACTTTTCAATTTGCAAAATCATCAATGGGAAGGATTCTCAAGTGCTTCACAGACTCTAACAGACTACAGCAGGGATCTTACCCACACGGTGACCGCTCGCATCTTAAACAAACAGTGAGCTGGCAGGAAAAAAATGCTGCCCTACATTTTGATAGTAAGATAACAATTTTCAAAGTCATTTCAAATAATTTTTATAATGCAATTTACCCATCAATCTATCAGATAAGTAGAATAGATCATTAGTTTGCAAACGAGGAGCTGGAAGCTCAAGGATTTGTCCAAGGGCTTATAGCTAGCTAGTACAGGGAAGCAACACCAGACATAAAAGAAGCCAGGTATTTCTTACCCAATCTGGTCATCTTCCTACTATACACAGGGCTAATACACCACATGTAGAAATACTTCAAAGTGACAAGAGAAACTCTTCAAATTATAATTTAAGTTCCTTCTGCTCAAGGTCAGGCTTGAATGCCATTATCTTCCTAATAAATTACACTTTATTTGCCAAGATCCCAAAAAGTTCTTAGTAATGATCATAGTTCTTACTTTATCCTCTATTATTATAGTGTTAGTGCTTTGGGACTCCAAGACTTTTAGCTCCTTAAGTGTAGGAACAGCCCTAAAGTTAACAAAATCGATCATCCCCTGTGGCACCTAGCAAAGTAGAGGAATTAAAAATATATCTGCTGTCCAGCCTGGCATGGTCCACTTACGTCCCCAGCCCTGCCTGCCTTTCCAGCACTCTCTGCACGCTGTGCAAGCACCCCATCCTGACACAAACTTCCCTGACCACAGCTCTGCCTTGCCACTTCATCCAGGAGCTCAGCTGTGGCCCTGCTTCCTGACTGGCCTGCGGGGTCCCACTATCCTTGGGCAGCATTCCCATCTGTCTTAAATGTCAAGTCCTTTCAATTATCACATTGTTGAATTTTCAAAATTTACATCAACATTTAGATTTGAGCAGAGGGTACAGAAACTGAAACTCTGAGAAGGTTCATTCCATTATATTTTTATACAGTGACAGATGTGAACTATTATTGTGGATTAACCACAACACATTCCAGATAAATGGAGACAGTAACATTTGTCGATACACACACATACAAGCAAAAGGGCATTATTTTCAGTGACTTAGTCTTTTCAATGTTTCTTAATAAGTGTAAGATGTATATTCATTAGTTTAGAGCAATGAATAAGTTACAAAAACACTTTATGAAAATTGCAAGTGAATACCACCAAATTATCACAGGAACTTAAATTCTTGTGCTATTTTTCCACATCTGAATTTAGTTAACATATAATTCAAATAAGCAAAGCACTGCCCAGCAAATGATTCAAATACTCCTATGGCTATTCATTAAATAACCTACACAGGCATGAATGCTTCCCTTTCTAGAAGAAATATACAGAATATACTCAATACTTCAGGCTCAGAGGAAAGATTTATATCTCCAATCTGGTGGTTATTTGTTGTTCCATGTAAAAGTCCTAATTTCTCTCTCCTCCAGGAGACAAATACCACTTTCAGGGAAAAGATGGAAATGTTGAAAAGGAAAAAAGAGAGTTCTGCAATTTCAATTATAAAAATATTGATGGTATGACCACACCTCCTCAACACATCTTCAATGAATCAGCCATTTTAAAATATGTAAAACTCACTGCATTCAGAGAATTTTCTGATCAAAAGCAATTGCTAATAATATGATAATAAAGATGCAAGAATTATATGCCTCATTATCTAAATGATCTTTTACCTTTTTTCGTTCCTGTTCCCTCTGTTGGAGTCTACAGACTGAGTCATTAGCTGCTTGCACTGAAATGAAAAAGACATGGGTTTTCAGTCAGCAGACCATGTTCAAGGAAACACATACCTGGGGGAGGAGTGTGTGTGGAGAGTACATGAATTGTTTTAGATCTCAAAAAACTATGCAAAGAACTGATATTATTTTGGTGGTGGTGGGATGGCCAGAAGGGGAAAATAAGTTTTGCCAATATATTCAGGATGTCATAATTAGAACAACCATAATTCTTGAGCTTTGAGCTACAAGCTGAAGGGCATTTAAATACTAACTCCAATGACAGATTGTCTACAGCTCTCTCACTGCAGTACCTGGTAACCACATCACTTCAACAACTTTCTACTATTCTTGCCTGTGCTCTCTTGACTTCTAATTTATCCTGGCTGCCAGTGCAAGATTCAACTTCCTCTGGACCATCTCCATTAAGTCATTTCTCTTTCTTAAGAACTGCTAGTAATAATTATTGTAATTATTTATTATTTACTAAGTGCCAAGATCTATGTATTATCCCTCTTAATCCCACTTTCCTATCAGGAAATGATCACTATTCCATTTTACAGATGACAAAACTGAGGTACAGAGAGGTGACGCTGTCAATCAAGGAGGTTATAAAACTAATAAGTACAGGAAACAGGATTTGAAGTCAGATCTTTCTGGCTGTAAAGACTTGGCTCTTACTATCAACACTCTACCGCCTCTTTAATTATTTCATCAATGAAACCAGTTGTAATTCTTCAGTTATTTAAACCTTTTCACCGCCAGATGCATTTTCTGTTCATAAATGTTCTTACTTACTTTATCCAAATAAAGACATGTAGTGTGCAGGTTAAGAGTGAGCCTTAGTCAAATTTGGCACTCAGTTGTGTGAATGATCTTGGGCATGTTTGCTCGCTCAATTATTCATTTGACAAATGTTTACTGAGCATGTGCTTTGTGCCAGGCACTGTTCTTGTTGGTCCTCCTATCTCTCAGCAACTTAGTTCCTCATCTGTAAAATGAACATAACAACTAATAACAGGGCTTCAGAAGTGACATAAAATTTAAATGAGAACACAGTACATACTATGCTTAAAAGTAAATCATTTCAATATTAATAATGATAACCACTTAGAGTAGTTCTTCATATAAAATAAGCAGTCAGGCCGGGCACGGTGGCTCACGCCTGTAATCCCAGCACTCTGGGAGGCCGTGGCGGGCAGATCACCTGAAGTCAGGAGTTCGAGACTAGCCTGACCAACATGGTGAAACTCTGTCTCTACTAAAAATACAAAAATTAGCTGGGAATAGTGGCACATGCCTGTAGTCCCAGCTACTCGGGAGGCTGAGCCAAGACAATCGCTCGAACCTGGTGCAGTGAGCCAAGATCGTGCCACTGCACTCCAGCCTGGGCAACAGAGCGAGACTCCATCTCAAAAAAAAAAAAAAAAATACAATAAGCAATCAAGAACTGCTCATTGTCACCAATATTCTATTTATTGTACTATCCCTAAAGAAAATCCTTTCCTTATTTCTTTCCACTAATTAAACTGTTTTGTTTCAAAAGCCCAGTTCAAGGTTTACTGTCTTCACAAAGCCCTCCTGATTAGTCCCTTCCCTCTGAGGATTTTCCCTATTTGAAATTCCTTAATCAGGTGTGTGTGTATCCTACCATTTATTAATATCTTGCCTTTGCTGAAATTGGAGGTTTGTCTAATTGTTTTACAATTATGTCTTCCTACCCCACCCCAATCCGGCCCCAACTAGGTCACAAGTTCCACAATAGGGCAGGGACTGTGATTTCTCTTTCAGAGAAATGTTAGGCCTCTCCCTCTGGGAATATGGTAAAAGAGAAGAATTTTGTTTTCAAAAAGTTGTGTTTTTATCAGTAACCATTAATTTTAGCTATATCAAAGATAATATTTAAGTATTGAAAATTAGGTTCCCAATCATTGATTTTTAAAAAAGAAAATATTTAAAAAAAAAAAAACAGGAGTTGATTAGCTCTGCCTTCTTTCTGTGGCATATTAACATGACATCATCTTTCCCAAGCAGTGCTTCTATCATTTCCTGCGTTGTTTTTTTCCCCCACTGGCTCTGAGAACATAACTTAAAATCCATTTGGCAGTTGTTAGGAGCTTCATCACTTTCAGAAGATTCTGAGCCTAACCTAAAAAAAGAGTTACAGGCTTCTGCCACTTACTTTGTCATCTGTTATGTCCTTTAAAATTCTAATCAGAACACATCTGACAAAGGTGCACTTTTGTTCCTCATCAGGATTGTTATGTTTAGACAGAATATCCACTTTTAGAAATTACAGTCCCTTTGAAGCAATTCACCTTTTAACTCTTTAGGCACACAACGGAAAAGGTTTACTTTCTGAATTTATGAAATTTGCTTTTCTAAAGTCAAAGACAATCACCAGACTGCACCAAACATTCCCTTTTTGAACAATTAGTGACACCAAGAAGGCCCATTTCTCTGAACCTTCCTATCACATCTGCAACACTTACTGGTTGTAACTCAGTACGAAGTCATTTCCCCTGTTATCTCAGTGTTTTAGGAGACTATATTGACTTAAAAAAAAAAGTCAAGAATTTATCAAGTGCTTTTTCTCTTAACCAAAAGATTATTCAAGTAGATTTGTGCCGCATACCACAGTTAACAATGTTCTATTTTCCTCACATAAAAAAGAAACAAATTCATTCTATCATGGTGTCTATAAGTAAACCTCAAATACACACGTAAGAAAATAATTTCACAACTTGCAGTTCCAAAATGCGGATATAGAAGCGAGCTAGCTTCACTCTCCACAACAGAAAACCAAAATCAGGTATACAGTGCCGGCAATACCCCAGAACTCAAACATGAGGATAAGACAGTTCTCAGGGCCACAGAGAAATGAAAACACTCTGAGGAGACAGGAACAGAATTGGACTTCCATCTCTGTAACATTCCTTCCCCAACCTGCCTTGGCACCAAGCACATGGGAAATCTCCCTGACTCATGGTTTCTATGCTAAAAGAGGGATCATGCTGGATGATCTGCTTCCCCATCATCTTGGGCTCCCTGGCAGGAGAAGTGTCCCTGCCTTAACCCATGGAAAGCATTTGTGATACCCGAGGGCAGACATATCCTCAAGGACAGCCAGAAAAAAAGGAGAGAGGTGCCACTTCCACCCCCAGTCTTTCAGAAACTCTGCTCTGTAACTCAGCCAAAGGAGACACCAAATCAAAGTGGCTACTCAGCACCACCACACTGCACGAGGTTCGTTCCCCAGGTCCCCTGGGAACAGAGGCTGCCTAGCCAGCCTTCCCACACTAACGAGATATCCCTTTGCGGACCTCCCCCATTCAAGATGAGTGGCATTCTGATCGTTTACTAGAACTAAGGCAGACTTGGGTTTAAGGTGCAGTCTAGTGCTGAAAAGAAGCAGTGATCTAGTGAAAGAAAAAAAGAAATCTGCAGGTAAAATACAAAGACTCTCTAAGCAAATGTATCCAATAAAAACAGAAACAAGACAGAGGAGATGGGAATAAATAACTAATGCTTCAATGCCAAGACGCAGATGTACATCCACAAGAAACAACAGCAAACAAGGAATGAAGACCTCCCTAAACAGACAAAGCAAAGAACCAGTCAGTGAATGACCTCAGTGAGATGGCAATATATGAACTCTCTGACCAACAATGCAAAATAGCAGTTCTAAGGAAACTCAGTGATCTCCAGGATAACACAGAAAAAAAATTCAGAAATTTAACAAAGAGATTAGAACAATTTTTTTTCTTTTGAGATGGGGTCTCACTCTGTTGCCCAAGCTGCAGTGCAGTGGCACAATCTCGGCATACCACAACCCCTGCCTCCTGGGTTCAAGCGATTCTCCTGCCTCAGCCTCCTGAGTAGATGGGACTACAGGCATGCACCACCACGCCCGGCTAATTTTTGTATTCTTAATAGAGACAGGGTTTTACCATGTTGGTCAGGCTGGTCTTGAACTCCTGACCTCGTGATCCACCCACCTCGGCCTCCCAAAGTGCTGGGATTACAGGCGTGAGCCACCACGCCTGGCCAGATTAAAATAATTTTTAAAAATCAAACAGAAATCTTGGAACTGGGAAATACATTTGCTGAACTGAAAAATCCATTACAGACTCTCAACAGTAGAATGAATCAAGCAGAGGAGAGTCAGTGAGCTCAAGAAAGGCCAGGTACAGTGGCTCACTCCTGTAATCCCAACACTTTGGGATGCCAAGGCGGGTGGATCACTTGACGTCAGGAGTTCGAGACCAGCCTGAACAACATGGTGAAACC
Source organism: Homo sapiens (assembly GCF_000001405.40). Lineage (NCBI taxonomy): Eukaryota > Metazoa > Chordata > Mammalia > Primates > Hominidae > Homo > Homo sapiens. The sequence continues at coordinate 8,030,699 of NC_000006.12, forward strand.
CCCTTTCTACTAAAAATAGAAAAATTAGCTGGGTATTGTGGCAGGCGCCTGTAATCCCAGCTAGTCCGGAGGCTGAGGCAGGAGAATGGCTTGAACCCAGAAGACAGAGGTTGCAGTGAGCCAAGATCACGCCACTGCACTCCAGCCTGAGCAACAGACCAACAGTCAAAAAAAAAAAATCACATGATCATCTCAATACACTCAGAAAAGGCAACTGACAAAATCCAGCATCACTTTATGATTAAAATCCTCAGCAAAACCGGTATAGAAGGGACATACCCTAAGGTAGTAAAAGCCATCTACGACAAACCCACAGCCAACATTATACTGAATGGGAAAACTTGAAAGCACTCTCCCTGAGAACCGGAACAAGACAAGAATACCTACTTTCACCATTTCTATTCAACATAGTACTGGAAGTTCTAGCCAGAGCAGTCAGACAACAGAAAGAAATAAAGGGCATCCAAATCGGTAAAGAGGAAGTAAAATTGTCACTAGTCACTGATGATATTATCGTATACCTAAAAAACCCTTAAGACTCATCCAAAAAGCTCCTATAACTGGTAAATGAATTCAGAAAGTTTCAGGATACAAAATCAATGTACACAAATCAGGAGCACTGCTATACACCAATAGAAACCAAGCTGAGAATCAAATTAAAGAGCTCAACCCCTTTTAGAATAGCTGCAAAAAAAGCAAAATACTTGGGCCTAACCAAGGAGGTGAAAGACCTCTACAAGGAAAACTACAAAACATGACTGAAAGAAATCACAGACGACACATATGGAAATACATCCCATGCTCATGGATGGGTAGAATAAATATTGTGAAATGTCCATAATGCCAAAAGCAATCTACAAATTCAATGCAATTCCCATCAAAATACCATTATCAATATTCACAGCACTAGAAAAAAAAATTCTAAAATTCAGATGGTACCAAAAAAGAGCCCACATAGCCAAAGCAAGATTAAGCAAAAATAACTAACCTGAGGTCATCACACTACCTGACTTCAAACTACACTACAAGGCTATAGTCACCAAAACAGCATGGAACTGGCATAAAAATAGGCGCATAGACCAATGGAACAGAATAGAGAACCCAAAAAGAAAGCCAAATACTTACAGCCAACTGATATTTGACAAAGCCAACAAAAACATAAACTAGAGAAAGGACACCCTATTCAACCAATGTTGCTGGAATAATTGGCATGCCACATGTAGAAGAATGAAACTGGATCCTCATCTCTCACCTTATGTAAAAATCAACTCAAGATGGATCAAAGACATAAATCTAAGACCTAAAACCATAAGAGTTCTAGAAGATGACATTGGAAAAACCCTTCTAGACATTGGCTCGAGCAGAGACTTCATGACCAAGAACCCAAAAGCAAATACAACAAAAACAAAGACAAATAGATGGGACTCAATTAAACTAAAAAGCTTCTGCACAGCAAAAGAAATAATCAGCAAACAGACAACACACAGGGTGGGAGAAAATCTTCGCAAACTATGCATCCCACAAAAGACTAATATGCAGAGTCTACAAAGAATTCAAACAAATCAGCAAGAGAAAAACAATGCCATCAAAAATGGGCTAAGGATGTGAATAGACAATTCTCAAAAGAAGATATACAAATGGCCAACAAACATATGAAAAATGCTCAATATCAATAATTTTAGGGATATGCAAAGCAAAACCAGAATTCGATAAGACCTTACTCCTGCAAGAATGGCCATAATTTAAAAAATTTAAAAAAAAATTGATGGAATGTATCTCAAAATAATAAGAGCTATTTATGACAAACTCACAGCCAGTATCATACTGAATGGGCAAAAACTGGAAGCATTCCCTTTGAAAACGGGCACAAGACAAGGACGCCCTCTCTCACCACTCCTATTCAATGTAGTGTTGAAAGTTCTGGTCAGGGCAATCAGGCACGAGAAAGAAATAAAGGGTATTCAATTAGGAAAACAGGAAGTCAAATTGTCCCTGTTTGCAGATGACATGATTGTATATTTAGAAAACCCCATCGTCTCAGCCCAAAATCTCCTTAAGCTGATAAGCAACTTCAGCAAAGTCTCAGGATACAAAATCAATGTACAAAAATCACAAGCATTCCTATACAGCATTAACAGACAAACAGAGAGCCAAATCATGAGTGAACTCCCATTCACAATTGCTACAAAGAGAATAAAATACCTAGGAATCCAACGTATAAGGGATGTGAAGGACCTCTTCAAGGAGAACTACAAACCACTGCTTGCCAAAATAAAAGAAGACACAAACAAATGGAAGAATACTCCATGCTCATGGATAGGAAGAATCAATATCGTGAAAATGGCCATACTGCCCAAGGTAATTTATAGATTCAATGCTATCACCATTAAGCTACCAATGACCTTCTTCACAGAACTGGAAAAAACTACTTTAAACTTCATATGGAACCAAAAAAGAGCCTGCATTGCCAAGACAATCCTAAGCAAAAAGAACAAAGCTGGAGCTATCAAGCTACCTGACTTAAAACTATACTACAAGGCTACAGTAACCAAAACAGCATGGTACTGGTACCAAAACAGATATACAGACCAATGGAACAGGACAGACGCCTCAGAAATAATGCCACACATCTACAACCATCTGATCTTTGACAAACCTGAAAAAAACAAGCAATATGGAAAGGATTCCCTATTTAATAAATGGTGCTGGGAAAACTGGCTAGCCATATGTAGGAAGCTGAAACTGGATCCCTTCCTTACACCTTATACAAAAATTAATTCAAGATGGATTAAAGACTTAAACGTTAGACCTAAAACCATAAAAACCCTAGAAGAAAACCTAGGCAATACCATTCAGGACATAGGCATGGACAAGGACTTCATGGCTAAAACACCAAAAGCAATGGCAACAAAAGCCAAAATAGACAAATGGGATCTAATTAAACTAAAGAGCTTCTGCACAGCAAAAGAAACTACCATCAGAGTGAACAGGCAACCTACAGAATGGGAGAAAATTTTTGCAATCTACCCATCTGACAAAAGGCTAATATCCAGAATCTACAAAGAACTCAAAAAAATTTACAAGAGAAAAACAAACAACGCCATCAAAAAGTGGGCAAAGGATATGAACAGACACTTCTCAAAAGAAGACATCTGTGCAGCCAACAGACACATGAAAAAATGCTCATCGTCACTGGTCATCAAAGAAATGCAAATCAAAACCACAATGAGATGCCATCTCACACCAGTTAGAATGGCAATCATTAAAAAGTCAGGAAACAACAGACGCTGGAAAGGATGTGGAGAAACAGGATCGCTTTTACACTGTTCGTGGGAGTGTAAATTGGTTCAACCATTGTGGAAGACAGTGTGGTGATTCCTCAAGGATCTAGAACTAGAATTACCATTTGACCCAGCAATCCCATTACTGGGTATGTACCCAAAGGATTATAAATCATGCTACTATAAAGACATATGCACACGTATGTTTATTGCAGCACTATTCACAATAGCAAAGACTTGGAACCAACCCAAATGTCCATCAATGATAGACTGGATTAAGAAAATGTGGCACATATACACTATGGAATACTATGCAGCCATAAAAAAGGATGAGTTTATGTCCTTTGCAGGGGCATGGATGAAGCTGGAAACCATCATTCTCAGCAAACTATCACAAGGACAGAAAACCAAACACTGCATGTTCTCACTAATAGGTGGGAATTGACAATGAGCCCCCTTGGACACAGGGCAGGGAACATCACATGCTGGGGCCTGTCGGCGGGTGGAGGGCTGGGGAAGGGATAGCATTAGGAGAAATACCTAACGTAAATGAGTTGATGGGTACAGCAAACCAACATGGCACATATATACCTATGTATCAAACCTGCATGTTGTGCACATGTACCCTAGAACTTAAAGTATAATAATAATAAAAAAAGAATTGATGTTGGTGTGGATGTGGTGAAAGGGGAACGCTTTTACACTGCTGGTGGGAATGTAAACTAGTACAACCACTGTGGAAGACAGTGTGGAGATTCCTTAAAGAACTAACAGTAGATCTACCATTTGATCCAGCAATCCCACTACTGGGTATCTACCCAGAGGAAAAGAAGTCATTATATGAAAAAGACACTTGCACATGCATGTTTACAGCAGCACAATTCTCAACTGCAAAAATATGGAACCAGCCCAAATGCCCATCAATCAACAAGTGGATAAAGAAAATGTGATATATACATATATATACACATATGCATACACACACACACACACATACACATATACACACACACCATGGAATACTATTCAGCCATAAAAAGGAATGAAATAATGACATTCACAGCAACCTGGATGGAATTACAGACCATTATTCTAAGTAAAGTAACTCAGGAATAGAAAACCAAACGTCGTTATGTTCTCGCTTATAAGTGGGAGCTAAGCTATGAGGACACAAAAGCATAATAATAATACAGTGAACTTTGGGGACTCAGGGGGAAGGATAGGAGGGAGGTAAAGGATAAAAGACTACACATTGGGTACAGTGTACACCAAAATCTCAGAAATCACCACTTAAGAACTTATCCATATACCCAGACACCACTGTTCCCCAAAAGCCTATTAAAATTTTCAAAAAGGAATAAAAATCTTTTTTTTTTTTTTAAAAAAAAGGCATAGAGTGGCTGAATAAATAAGACCCACCTCTATACTGCCTACGAGAAAGGCACTTCACCTATAAAGACATGCAAGTTCTATGTGCTAATGAAAAGAACGTGTATTCTGCAGCAGTTGGGTGAAATGTTCAGTAAATGTTAGTTGGGTCTTACATTTCCACGCAACCAGAAAAAGATATTCCATGCAACTGGAGACCAAAAAGAGCAGGAGTAACTATACTTACATCAAATAAAACAGACTACAAATCAAAGACTGCAAAAAGAGACAAAGAAGGTCACTATATAATCATACAGGGGTCAATTCAGCAAGAGGGTTGTAACAATTATAAATATCTATGTACTTAACACTGGAACTCCCAAGTACATACAGGAAACATTAATAGATCTAAAGGGAGAGATAGAATGCAATAGCCGCAGGAGACTTCAACATCCCATTCTTAGTAATGGACAGATCATCCAGACAGAAAATCAACAGAGAAACATTGGAGAGTTCAACTACAAACTCGACCAGGCCTTAATGACACTTACAGAACCTTCATCCAACTGCAGCAGGTTACACGTTCTTTTCATCAGCACACAGAACATTCTCTGGAACAGATCATATCTTAGGCCACAAAACAAGTCTTAACAAATTCAGAAAAGATAGAGATCATTATCAGGTATATTTTCTGACCATAATGGAATAAAATTAAAAATCAGTAACAAGAGGAAACTTGGAAAATACACACACACAACATGCTCCTGAACAACCAATGAGTCAGGGAAGAAATTAAGAAGGAAATTTAAAAATTTCTTGAAACAAATAAAATGAAAATACAACATACCCAAATCTATGGGATACAGCAAAAACAGTACCAACAGGGAAATTTATAGCAGCAAAAGCCTGTATCAGAAAAATAGAAAGACTTCAAATAAACAACCTAACAAGGAACAAAAAATTAGGAGAAGGAAAGAAATAATAGAGACCAGAGCAGAAATAAATAAAATTGAGGCTAAAAACATCAGAGTCATTAAACTATTATCAACAACTATACGCCAACAAATTGGAAAACCTAGAAGAAATAAATTCCTAAATACATACAAGCTACCAAGTACAAACCATGAGGGAACAGAAAGCCTCAACAAACTAATAATGAATAACAAGGTTGAAGCCATGATAAAGTCTCCTATCGAAGAAAAGCCCAGGACTTAATGGCTTCTTTGCTGAATTCCAGCAAACATTTAAAGAAGAATTAACACCAATTCTACTCAAGTTCTTCAAAAAACCTGAAGAGGAGAGAATATCCCCAACTCATTCTACAAGGCCAGCATTACCTCAATATCAAAATCAGACAAAGACAAAAGAATTAAAAAAGAGAAAACTACAGGCAATATCACTAATGAATGTAAAGGCAAAAATCCTCAACAAAATAGTAGCAAACCAAATTCAACAACATGTTAAAAAGATCATTCACCATGATCAAGCAGGATTTATCCCAGGAATGGCAGGATGGTTCAACATATGCAAATCTATAAATAACCCATATGGTAACCTCAACAGATGCTAAAAAAGCATTTGATAAAATCCAACTTTCCTTTATGATAAAAACTCTCAACAAACTGGGTATAAAAAGAACATAGCTCAAAATAGCTGTGGGCAAACCCACAGCTAACATCATACTGAATGAGGAAAAATTGAGAGCCTTTCCTATAAGATCCAGAACAAGAAAAGGATGCTCACATTCACCACTTTTATTCAACATAATACTGAAAGTACTGCCAGGGCAATTAGGCAAGAAATAAGGGCACACGAATTGGAAAGGTATTAAGTCAAATTAGCTTTGTTTGCAGATCACATGATCTTATATTTAGAAAAACCTATTGACTCACCAAAAAGCTCTTGGAACTAATAAATGTATTCAGTAAAGTTGCAGGATACAAAATCAACATACAAAATCCATAGCATTTATATATGCCAACAGCAAGCAATCTGAAAAAGAAACCAAGAAAGCAACCCTATTTACAATAGCTACAAAGAACATAAAATACCTAGCAATCAACTGAACCAAAGAAGTAAAAGATCTATACAAGGAAAACTATAAAACTTTGATGAAAAAAATTGAAGAGGGCACACAAAAATGGAAAGATATCCATGCTCTGTAACTGGAAGAATGCCATTAAAGTGACAATAATACCCAAAGCAATTTACAGGCTCAATGCAATCCCTATCAAAATACCAACGACATTTTTCATAGAAACAGGAAAAATAAATCCTAAAATTTATACAGAATCACGAAAGACCCTGAATAGCCAAAGCAATTTTGAGCAAAAAGAACAAAGCTGGAGGCATCACACTACCTGATTACAAAGCATATTATTAATACAAAGCTATAGTAACCAAATCAGCATGATACCAGCATAAAAACACACAGGCCATGCATGGCACAGAATCAATAACCCAGATATAAACTCACACATTTATAGCCAGCTCATTTTCAACAAAGGCACCAAGAACATACAATGGGGAAAGGACAGGCTCTTCGATAACCAGTGCTGGGAAAACTGGATATCAGTATGACTGGGAAAACTGGATATCCATATGAAGAAGAATGAAACTAAACCTCTGTCTCTCACCATCCACAAAAATCAAATAAAAATGGATTAAAGACTTAAATCTAAGACCTGAAACTGTGAAATTACTAGAAGAAAGCCTAGGGGGAAACACTCCAGGACATTGGTCTGGGCAAAGACTTTTTTCTGTAAGACCTCAAAAGTAAGGCAACCAAAGCAAAAACAGACAAATGGGGTTACATCAAGCTAAAACGCTTCCGTGACGCAAAGAAAATAATCAGCAAGTTGAAGAGACAACCCACAGGAGGAGAAAGCATTAGCAAACTATTCATCTGACAACAGATTAATAACCAGAATATATAAGGAGCTCAAACAACAATATAGCAAAAATCCCAAAGAATCCAATTTTAAAAATAGGCAAAGATCTATTTCAAAAGAGACATTTCTCAAAAGACATAAAATGGCCAACAGGAATATGAAAAAAGTGCCCAAGATCACTAATTATCAGAGAAATGCAAATCAGACCACAATGAAATAGCATCTCTAGTTAAAATGGCTTTTAATTAATTAATTAATTAATTATTGACGGAGTCTCACTCTGTTGCCCAGGCTGGAGTGCCGTGGCGCTATCTTGGCTCACTGCAAGCTCTGTCTCCCGGGTTCACGCCATTCTCCTGCCTCAGCCTCCTGAGTAGCTGGGACTACAGGCACCCGCCACCATGCCTGGCTACTTCTTTGTATTTTTAGTAGAGACAGGGTTTCACTGTGTTAGCCAGGATGGTCTTGATCTCCTGACCTCATGATCCACCCGCCTCGGCCTCCCAAAGTGCTGGGATTACAGGCGTGGGCCACCACACCCAGCCAAAATGGCTTTTATTAAAAAGATGAAGAATAATGGATACTGGCGAGGATGTGGAGAAAAGGGAACTCTCGTATACTATTGGTCAGAATATAAATTAGTACAACCACTATGGAGAACAGTTTGGAGGTTCCTCAAAAAACTAAAAATAGAACTACCATATGATCCAGCAATTCCACAATACTGGGTATATATCTAAAAGAAAAGGAGAGAGACATCTGCACTTACGTGTTTATTGAAGCACTAGCCAAAATATGGAACCAACCTAAATTCCCATGAATGGGTAAGGAAATGTGGTATATATACACAATGGAATATTATTCAGCCATAAAAATGAATGAAATCCCATCATCTGCAGCCACATGGACAGAACTAGATGTTATTATGTTAAGTGAAATAAGCCAAGCACAGAAAGACAAATATTGCATGCTCTCACTCGTATGTGAGAGCTAAAGAAATGGATCTCATGAATATAGAGAGTAGACTGGTAGTTACCAGAGGCCAGGAAGTATAGTGAGGAGGAGGGCATGAGGAAAGGTTGATTAATGGATATAAATATATGGTCTGATGGAAGAAATAAGACCTAGTATTTGATATATCAGTAGGGTGACTATAGCTTACAATAACCTATTATATAATTCAAAATAGCTAGAAGAGAATAATTTGAATGTTTTTAACAAAAAGAAAGGACAAATATTTAAGGTGATGAATATGTGAATTACACTAATTTGGTCTTTCCAAATTATATGAAAGCATTAAATTACCATAAGTACCCCCAAAATACGTACATTATACAATAATACAAAAGTAAAGTTATTTTTAAAAAGCTAAGTCAATGTAGTATTAGCTTTAAAAAAAAAAAGAAAATAATTTCAGCTTGGCATTAGGAACAGATTTTGGCCGAATGCTCACTCATTCATTTCAATGAACAAATTACTAGTGAGTGGCTATAAAGTAGCAGGCACTGTTCTAGGTGCCTGAGATACCACAGTGAACAACAACAACAAAAGTCCTGAGCTTACAGGACTCAAATTTTAGTTGGGAAGACAGGGGTATGGGACCAGGCTAAAACCACAAATATGGAATTTAATTATTAATTGGTATACAGATGATATTGAAAGGCGTGATTCTGTATAAGCTCACCAAGCGAGTTTAAACAAGAAAGCAGTTGCGGAACCAAGCCTCCGAGCACCACATGGTGAAAAGTCGTGAAGTTAAGTGGGAACTAACAAAGTAGACTGAGAAGGAGGAGCCTGTGTTGTAGGAGGCAATCCAAGAAAAAGTGATAATCCAGGAATAAAGGCAGACTTTTCTTACTACCTTTTCAAAGATATACAGAAGTAACATCCTGAAGTGGAACTTGAGCTCTGGAGGCAGAAGAGCTAGGCTTGGATGGTAGTTCCTCCAATTATTATTGGAGAATCTAGAGTGTTCAACCATTATAAATTTCGGTTTTCTCAACTGTAAGGTGGGGAAGATGATAAACATTTATCTTACTGGGTTATGATTAAAAAAATGAAAAAATACAGGTGAAAATTCTAACTAGTAAAGTGCTATATAAATTCGTTTGTATTTTTAATTACAGTCTGTTCTTAAAGATTTCTAGGTAAAGATGGCAGAATGAAGTAAAATCACACAAACTTAGTCCTTTAAATGCCTCTCAAAATAAATAGTTTTTTAAAAGTAAAAAAACTTCACCATTTACTAAACAGTAAAGAATTATAATTGCATACTATAAACTTTGAAAAGTAGCAGCCAAAAATAGGAACACAGATTGTAGTCAAGAACCGAGATTCCTGGCTGGGCACAGTGGCTCACGCCTGTAATCCCAGCACTTGGGAGGCCGAGGCAGGTGGATCACGAGTCAAGAGATCAAGACCACCTTGGCCAACATGGTGAAACCCCATCTCTACTAAAAATACAAAAATTAGCCAGGCATGGTGAGACGCACCTGTAGTCTCAGCTACTCAGGAGGCTGAGGCACAAGAACCACTTGAATCTGGGAGGCCGAGGTTGTAGTGAGCTGAGATTGCACCACTGCACTCCAGCCTGGGACACAGAGTGAGACTGTGCCTCCAAAAAAAAAAAAAAATTTGTAAAAATAGGTGAAAACTGTTTTGACTTTCTCACATACTAAACAGATTGTCTCGTGTACCACAGATGCACACATCTCACTTTGGAGATTAATGCTGTTTGGAGATTAATTAATGGCAACACACATTAATCACTAGAAAACCACTTTCTCTGTAACTGAGCTTCCCTCTCCCTCTCCACCTCCCCCCATAATACCCAAGAAAATACATTTTGGTGTAGCATTCATTTGAAATGAAAAGCAATTAAAAAAGAATTGCTGACTCACATCTCTGGAGAACCTGGCTGAGGCTGTCCCGCATTGTGTCTCTACATTTGGGAAGAGTATGTTCATTTGTTTCATGGATCATGTTCTTCAAATTTTCAAGAACTCGCATTTCTCGAAGACCACGTTTTTCCTATTAAAAGAAAGTAGATGACTAATAAATATGGTGTCTTTTCCTTTTTTTTTTTTTTTTTTGAAATGGAGTCTCGCTCTGTCGCCCAGACTGGAGTGCGGTGGTGTGATCTCAGCTCACTGCAACCTCCGCCTCCTGGGTTCAAGTGAGTCTCCTGCCTCAGCCTCCCAAGTAGCTGGGACTACAGGCTCCCGCCATCACATCCAGCTAATTTTTTGTGTTTTTAGTAGAGATGGGGTTTCACTGTGTTAGCTAGGATGGTCTCGATCTCCTGACCTTGTGATCCGCCCACCTCGGCCTCCCAAAGTGCTGGGATTATAATCGTGAGCCACTGCGCCCGGCCATATTGTGTCTTAAATCTTAGTAATTACTTTCTTTCTTTCTTTCTTTTTTTTTGAGATGCAGTCTCGCCCTGTCGCCCAGACTGGAGTGCGGTGGCGCTCTCTCTGCTCACTGCAAGCTCCGCCCGCTGGGTTCCCGTCATTCTCCTGCCTCAGCCTGCCGAGTAGCTGGGAATACAGGCGCCCGCCACTACCCCCGGCTAATTTTGTATATATTTAATAGAGACGGGGTTTCACCGTGTTAGCCAGGATGGTCTCTATCTCCTGACCTCGTGATCCACCCGCCTCGGCCTCCCAAAGTGCTGGGATTACAGGCGTGAGCCACCGCGCCCGGCCTAAATCTTAGTAATTACTTTCTAAGATATCCACCCAGGTTTTGGTTGTTAGGTTATGACTTATTACTGAAAATTTATGCAGCTTTCTTCTAATTATTTGGCAATAAATGCCTCATAACCCAGAGGCATTTTTAAAATTATGAAATGCTCCAAAAGTTGCAATATGAGCAATATTTTTATAGCAATGTTAAAAAATTGGCAAGAGAAATACTAAAAGAACCAGAAAAATGGTCCAGATTGCCACATATTTTATTAGAAGGAAATTAAACACTCCGATCTGATCTTAAATTTCATTTTGTCATTCTAACTATCATATAGCTTCTGTTATTATGTGCTATATTTTTTATCTGATTCCCTTTCTTTTCTCAAAATAAAAATGGGTAGTAAAAGTAATATGTAGATACTTCCCTATATAGAAAAGAACACTGAAGGCCTGAGGCTATTATCATTAGAAAGGCCTCCTCATAAGGTTGGCCCTGGCTGGGGGCTGGAAACTTGACTAGTAAACAGTTTCCTCCGTTGGTATAAAACCCTTCCATAAATTATAAAAGTGGTTCACTGTGCCTAAATGGTTTACACCAAGCTTGTCCAACCCACGGCAGACGGGCTGCAAGCAGCCCAAGACGGCTTTGAATGCAGCCCAACACAAATTATAAAACTTCCTTAAAACATTATGAGATTTTTTTGTGATTTTTTTTCTTTTTTAGCTCATCAGCTATTGTTACTGTTAGTCTATTTTATGTGTGGCCCAACACAATTCTTCTTCTTCCATTGTAGATCAGGGAAGCAAAAAGACTGGACACCCCTGGTTTACACAAACAATGTGATTAATGTTGAATACCTCTTTCCTTCTGGAAGTCTGAAAATGCTGTATGTGCTAGGCAGAGGATGCCTCCTTGACCAGCCCCCAATAAAACCCCTGGACTCCTAGGCTCAGGCAAGCTTCCCTGTAAGATTACACTTTACATGTGTTGTCACAACTTGTCACAAGGGGAATTCAGTGCATCCTGTGTGACTCCACTGGGGGACGACTCTTGGAAGCTTCTACCTGGGTTCCTCCAGACTGCTTCCCAAGCACCTTTTCCCTTTGCTGACACTGCTTTGTATTCTTTTGCCATAAAAGAGCTTGCCACAAGTATGGCCATATACTGACTCCTGTGAGTTCTTCTAGTGAATCACTGAACTTGCAGGTGGTTTTAGGAACCCCGAAAACATCTCCATTCCAGAAAATAGAGCAAAACCACCCTCCCTGCCCAAAATGAGGGTGGGTTATACTTAGTAACTTGCTTTCAAAGAATAGAACAGGGAAAGGGAAAAATATTAACATTATAGTAGAGAAAACTAGCAACATGATACTAGAGAAAACTAGCCAATGCAATAATACCTCAACCAAGCCAAGAAGGTTCATATTATCAGTGGTATCGTGTTGATAGCATGCACCCACTGATGTAATGCGATAAGGGTACTTCATCTCTGTGGTATTCTTTCCCAATACCCATAACCCCAGTCTAGTCATGAGAAAAACAACAGACAAACCCAGATTGGATACCTAGCCAGTACTCAAGACTTATGCAAAGGTCATAAAAAATAAGGAAAGGCGGAGGAACTGTCACAGACCAAAGACTAAGGTGGCATGATCATTCAATGCAATGTGGTACCCCAGATGAGATTCTGGAACAGAAAGGGGACTGTAATAGAAAAACTGGTAAAATTCAAATAAAGTCTGGTGTTTCATTGACAGTAATGTATCAATGTTGGTTTCTTAGCTTTTACAAATGCAGCATGGTAATGTAAGAAATAAAATAATGAAAGAAATTGGGTGAGGTGTTGATATGGTTTGGCTGTGTCCCCACCCAAGTCTCAACTTGAATTGTATCTCCCAGAATTCCCACATGTTGTGGGAGGGACCTAGGGGGAGGTAATTGAATCATGGGGGCCCGTCTTTCCCATACTATTCTCCTGATAGTGAATAAGTCTCTGATGGGCTTATCAGGGGTTTCCACTTTTGCTTCTTCCTCATTTTCTCTTGCTACCACCATGTTAAGAAGTGCCTTTCAGGCCAGGCGCGATGGCTCACGCCTGTAATCCCAGCACTTTGGGAAGCTGAGGTGGGCGGATCATGAGGTTAGGAGTTTGAGACAAGCCTGGCCAACACGGTGAAACCCCATCTCTACTAAAGATACAAAAAAATTAGCCAGGCGTGGTGGTGCATGCCTGTAATCCTAGCTACTCAGGAGGCTGAGGCAGGAGAATCGCTTGAACCTGGGAGGTGGGGGTTACAGTGAGCCAAGATTGTGCCACTGCTCTCCAGCCTGGGCGACAGAGCAAGACTCTGTCTCAAAAAAAAAAAAAAAAAAAAAGAAGGAAGTGTCTTTCGCCTCCCACCATGATTCTGAGGCCTCCCCACCCATGTGGAACTGTAAGTCCAATTAAACCTCTTTTTCTTTCCAGTCTTGGGTATGTCTTTATCAGTAGAGTGAAAACAGACTAATACAGTAAATTGGTACCAGTAGAGTGGGGCGTGGCTGAAAAGATAGAAGAAAATGTGGAAGCAACTTTGGAAATGAGTAACAGGCAAAGGTTGGAACAGTTTGGAGGGCTCAGAAGAAGACAGGAAAATGTAAGAAAGTTTGGGACTTCCTAGAGACTTGCTGAATGGCTTTGACAAAAATGCTGATGGTGATATGAACAATAAGGTCCAGGCTGAGGTGGTCTCAGATGGACATGAGGAACTTGTTGGGAACTGGAGCAAAGGTGACTCTTGTTATGCTTTAGCAAAGAGACTGGTGGCATTTTTTCCTTGCGCTAGAGATCTGTGGAACTTTGAACTTGAGAGAGATCATTGAGAGTATCTGGTGGAAGAAATTTCTAAGGAGCAAAGCATTCAAGAGGTGACTTGGGTGCTGTGAAAGGCATTCAGTTTTATAAGGTAAGCGGAGCATAAAAGTTTGGAAAATCTGTAGCCTGACAATGCAAAAGAAAAGAAAATTTCATTTTCTGAGGAGAAATCCAAGCCGGCTGCAGAAATTTGCATAAGTAACAAGGAGCCAAATGTCAATCCCCAAGACAATGGGGAAAATGTCTCCAGAGCATGTCAGAGGTCTTCATGGCTGTCCCTCCCATCACAGGCCCAGAGGCCTAGGGGTAAAAAGTGGTTTGTGGGCTAGGTCCATGGCCTCCATGCTGTGTGCAGCCTAGGGACTTGGTGCCCCATGTCCCAGCCACTCCAGCAGTGGCTGAAAGGGGCCGACATACAGCTTGGGCTGTGAATTCAGAGGGTGGAAGCCCCAGGCTTTGGCAGCTTCCAAGTAATGTTGAGCCTGTGGTGCACAGAAGTCAAGAATGGAGGTTTGGGAACCTCTGCCTAGATTTCAGAAGATGTAAGGAAATGCCTGGGTGTCCAGGCAAAAGTTTGCTGCAGGAGTGGGGCCCTCATGGAGAACCTCTGCTAGGGCAGTGCAGAAGGGAAATGTGGGGTCGGAGCCCCCACACAGAGTCCCTACTGGGGCACTGCCTAGCGGAGTTGTGGGAAGAGGACCACCGTCCTCCAGACCCCAGAATGGTAGATCCACCGACAGCTTGCACCATGCACCTGGAAAAGCCACAGACACTCAATGCCAGCCTATGAAAGAAGCTAGGAGGGAGGCTGTACCCTGCAAAGCAACAGGGCTGGAGCCTCCCAAGACCATAGGAATCCACCTCTCGCATCAGTGTGGCCTGAATGTGAGACCTGGAGTCAAAGGGGATCATTTTGGAGTTTTAAAATTTGATTGCCCCACTGGATTTCGGACTTGCATGGGCACTGTAATCCCTTTGTTTTGGCACATTTCTCTCATTTGGAACGGCTGTATTTACCCAATACCTGTAACCCCATTGTATCTAGGAAGTAACTATCTCGCTTTTGATTTTGCAGGCTTACAGGTGAAAGGGACTTGCCTTGTCTCAGAGGAGACTTTGGACTGTGGACTTTTGGGATTAATGCTGAAATGAGTTAAGACTTTGGGGGACTGCTGGGAAGGCATGATTGGTTTTGAAATGTGAGGACGTGAGATTTGGAGGGGCCAAAGGTGGAATTATATGGTTTGGCTCTGTCCCCACCCAAATCTCAACTTGAATTGTATCTCCCAGAACTCCCACGTGTTGTGGGAAGAACCCAGGGGGAGGTAATTGAATCATGGGGCCAGTCTTTCCCATACTATTCTCATGACAGTGAATAAGTCTCATGAGATCTGATGGGCTTATCAGGGGTTTCTGCTTTTGCTTCTTTCTCATTTTCACTTGCTGCCACCATGTAAGAAGTGCCTTTCGCCAGCCACCATGATTCTGAGTCCTCCCCAGCCATGTGGAACTGTTTAAGTCCAATTACACCTCTTTTTCTTCCCAATCTTGGGTATGCCTTTATAAGCAGCATGAAAATGGACTAACACAGGGGTACATGGGAATTATCTGTACTATCTTTGCAATTTTTCTACAAATCTAAAATTAAAATAAGAAGTTACTAAAAAAAAGAGTGGTAAACTTGACTATGAAAAAATAATAGACTAGATATGTTACTGAGGTTTTTTATTTTTTTTGAGCCATTCTTATAAGGCCAGTTTCTGACTTTTTCTAATTTTCCCATAATAAAATATTAACAACTTATACAAAAGTTGTGAGAGAATAATATAACAAACTCTCATATACTCCAAGCTTCAACAATTCTCATGACTGATTTTTTTCCCCTCCACAATGTTCCATACCTCATTCCCTCTAGATTATTTTGAAGCAAATCCTAGAAAGTATATCATTTCAACTGTTAAATATTTCAACCTGTATCTTTTTTTTTGTTTGCTGTTGTAGAGACAGGGTCTTGTTCTGTCGCTGAGATCACACTACTGCTGGAGTGCAGTGGTGTGATCATGGCTCACTGCAGCCTTGAACTCCTGGGCTCAAGCAATCCTCCTGTCTCAGCCTCCCAATAGCTGGGAGGACAGGTGCACACCACCACACCTGGCTCATTTTTCTTTTTTAAAAATTTTTTGTAGAGACAGGCTCTCACTTTGTTGTCCAGGCTGGCCTCAAACTCCTGAGCTCAAGCAATACTCCCACCCTGGACTCCTGAAGTCCTGGAATTACACGCATGAGCCACCATGCTTGATCTCAACATATATTAATATCTTTAAAACAAGAGACTTGCCTTAAACAAACAATAAGACCACCTCTCTCTCTCTCTCTCTCACACACACACACACACACACACACACACACACACACACAGTCAACAGTAATTTTTTTTTTTTTTGAGACAAGGTCTGGCTCTGTTTTCTAGGCTGGAGTGCAGTGGCACAATCTTGGCTCACTGCAACCTCTGCCTCCCTGGCTCAAGCAATCCTCCTACCTCAGCCTTCCAAGTAGCTGGGGCTACAGGCGCACATTATGACACTTGGCTAATTTTTGTATTTTTTATAGAGACAGGGTTGTCCCATCTCTCTATAAAAGACATTTGTTGACCACGCCTGGCCAACAATTTTTTAATATCAAAGTAGTGTTCACATTCCCTCAAATGTCCTATAAATGTTTTTTATCCCCCAGTTTGTTTGAACCACAACCTAAACGAGTTTTATATACTGCAATTGATTAATATGTTTCTTAAGTCCTTTTTAACCAATAGATTTCCCCTTTCACTTTTTTCCCTTGCAATTTGTTGGAAAAAAGTGAGTCATTTGTTCTGCACAGTTTCCCACAGTCTGTTGTTTGCTGAATGAATCCCCATGGTGTAATTTAACATACTCCTTTGTCTGTTCTCTTTCCTGTAAATTAGTCGTTAGAACTAAAGCCCTGATCAAATTCAGGGTTCTGTTTTTTGTTTGCAAGAATTTTTCAGACATGGGTTGTATACTCTCAACAGCATCTTGGTAGCATTCTGTCTTTGTTTACTAGCAGAAATACTCTATGAGGAGAAACTGCCCCCAACAACAACTTGGTTACTCTGAGTAATGTTCACATACAAAAGGCAAGACAGAACACTTGATTCTTTCTCCCGTATTTACCAGTTTCAAAAATAATGAGTTGGCTCCCTAGTATCCACTAAAGGTGATTAGAAAGGTTTTTTGTTTGTTTGTACATATCCCTATGACTCATAGATTTAGAGATATTTGAAGTTTTTCAATCCATTGCAGTATTTCTCATAGGACAAACGCAAGGCCTTTTGCACCAGATAATTGGTACTCAGATTATCCCAGCTTTGTCCAGTGGGAGCCTATTCAAGCTGGCTCTGGAATGCTTCAGACAAAACTCTAGTATTTTGTAGTAGCTCATTTGCTTTCTGGCATGATCTGATGCTCCAGGTTCATCCTCTCCATCTCCTGCTCTGGACTTGGAATGAGCAGGTGTCTAACCTCCCACTGGGATGTAGAAATGGAATTCGGAGACTGAGCACTAAGGCTGCTCACTTTTATTGGGTTGGTCATTGTTTCTAACTTTTCAGCGGAGAAGGCTAGGAAATATGTATTTTTTTAAAAAATAGATATATCTTGAGTTCATACTGATAGTCAAACTTAAATTAAAGACCACAGAATTTCTAATTACCCTCTTCTGTCTTATCTGTTTCTTTCCAGTTATCAAAACACCAACATAATTGTTTGTTTTATCGCTGATTCAGTCAAGTCATAATACCAATACTAGCATCAACAAAATGATTACTAAAATAAGAAATTTAATATATATTTTTTAACTTTTTCTTTTGAAGGTATATTTCACTAGGATGTAAAGTCAAATCATTGTGCCTTGAAATTATGTGGAAGAGTTGGCTGGGCACGGTGGCTCACGCCTGTAATCCCAGCACTTTGGGAGGCTGAGGTGGGCGGATCACCTGAGGTCAGGAGTTCAAGACCAACCTGGCCAACATGGTGAAACCCCATCTCTACTAAAAATACAAAAATTAGCTGGGCATGGTGGTGTACGCCTGTAATACCAGCTACTCAGGAGGCTGAGGCAGGAGAATCACTTGAACCCAGGGTGGCAGAAGCTGCAGTGAGTCGAGATCACACCACTTCACTCCAGCCTAGGTGAAAGAGACTCCGCCTCAAAAGAAAGAAAAGAAAGGAAAGAAAGAAGAGGAGGGGAGGGGAGAGGAAGGGAGGGGAGGGGAGGGGGGAAAGAAAGAGGCCAGGTACAGTGGTTCATGCCTGTAATCCCAGCACTTTGGGAGGCCGAGATGGGCAGATCACATGAGGTCAGGAGTTCGAGACCAGCCTGGCCAACATGGTGAAACCCCATCTCTACTAAAAATACAAACATTAGCCGGGCGTGGTGGCAGGCACCTGTAATCCCAACTACTCGGGAGGCTGAGGCAGGAGAATCGCTTGAACTTGGGAGATGGAGGCTGCAGTGAGCCGCGATCGCGCCATTGCACTCCAGCCTGGGGGACAAGAGCAAGACTTCGTCTCAAAAAAAAAAAGAAAGGAAAGAAAGAACGTGGAACAATTTCTCTCTGAGTAGCAATGTCACCATCCAAAAACACAGGCTTTTTTCTGTAAATTTTACTTGATTTTTAGGAATTGCTCTTTAAATTTAAAATTTAAATTATGTAAAACATTTATATGGCTCCAAAACTATATCTGTAAAACAAAATACATTCAAAGAAGTGTAGCTTCTACTCCTATCCTTTGCACCCTATCTCCTCCATAGCTTTCCCTTTAGGTAATTATTAACAACTTATCCAACCACTGTTTTAAGTACATACATGCATATATAAATGCATACATGTCAATGTGTATATAATTATGTATATACTTTTTTTTTTTTGAGATAGGGTCTCACTCTGTTGCCCAGGCTGGAGTAGAGTGGTGTGATTCTGGCTCATTGCAACCTCCGCTTCCTGGGCTCAAGCGATCCTCCCGCCTCAGCCCCCAAGTAGCTGAGAGAACAGGCACAAGCCACTATGCCCGACCAATTTTTGTATTCTTTGTAGAGACGGGGTTTCATCATGTTGCCCAGGGCTGGTCTCAAGCTCCTGAGCTCAAGCGATCCACCCACCTCAGCCTCCCAAAGTGCTGGGATTACAGGTGTGAGCCACTGTGTCCGGTGGATGTATATACTTCTAAGTGTACGCAAGCATACCTCACTTTACTATGCTTTGCAGATACTATGTTTTTTACAAATTGAAGGTTTGTGGCAACGCTGTTTCAAGCAAGTCTATTGGTGCCATATTTCCATCAGCATGAGCTCACCTTGTGTCCCTTTGTCACATTTGGGTAATTCTCATAAAATTTCACAAGTTTTCATTATTATTACACCTGTAAGGGTGATCTGTGATCAGTGATCTTTGATGTTACTGTTGTCATAGTTTTGGGGCGCCACAAACCACAATCACATAAGACCATGAACTTAATCTATGAATGTTGGGTCTGTTCTCATTGCTCACTGACTGGCCATTCCCCCATCTCTTTCCCTCTCCTTGGGCCTCCGTATTCCCTGTGACACACTGAAATTAGGCCAATTAATAACCCCACATGGCCTCTAAGTGTTCAAGTAAATAAAGAGTCATAAATCTCTGACTTTAATCCAAAACTAGAAATGATTACACTTAGTGAAGAATGCATGTTGAAAGCCAAGGCAGGATGAACGCGAGGCCTTTTGCACCAGATATTTAGCCAAGATGAGAATGGAAAAGAAACTTTTTTTTTTTTTTTTATTGAGACAGAGTCTCACTCTGTCACCCAGGATGGAGTGCGGCGGTGTGATCTCGGCTCACCGCAACCTCTGCCGCCCAGGTTCAGGCAATTCTCATGCCTCGGCCTCCCAAGTAGCTGGGACTACAGCCAAGTGCCACAATGCCTGGCTAATATTTTTGTATTTTTAGTAGAGACGGGGTTTCGCCATGTTGGCCAGGCTGGTCTTGAACTCCTGACTTCAGGTGATCTGCCCGCCTCGGCCTCCCAAAGTGCTGGGATTACAGGCATGAGCAACTGTGCCCAGTGGAAAAGGAAGATTCTTGAAGGAAATTAAAAATGTTATTCCATTGGGAGGCCGAGGTGGGCAGATCACAAGGTCAAGAGATCGAGACCATCTTGGCCAACATGGTGAAACCCTGTCTCTACTAAAAATACAAAAATCAGCTGAGCAGGGTGGTGCACACCTGTAGTCCCAGCTACTCAGGAGGCTGAGGCAGGAGAATTGCTTGAACCTGGGAGGTGGAGGCTGCAGTGAGCCGAGACTGCGCCACTGAACTCCAGCCTGGTGACAGTGAGATTCCATCTCAAAAAAAAAAAAAAGTTATTCTAGTGAACACACGAATGATAAGAAAGTGAAACAGCCTTATTGCTGATAGGGAGAAAGTTTGAGTGGTCTGGACAGAAGATGAAACCAGCCACAACATTTTCTTAAGCCAAAGCCTAATTGAGAGGAAGGCCCTAACTCTATTCAATCCTATGAAGGTTGAGAGAGGTGAGGAAGCTGCAGAAGGAAGGTTTGAAGCCAAGCCAGCAGAGGTTGGTTCATGAGATTTAAGGAAAGACACCATCTCCATAACATACAAGTGCAAGGTGAAGCAACAAATGCTAACGTAGACTGCAAGATCTAGCTACGATCATTGCTGAAGTAGCTACACTAAACAACAGACTTCCAATGTATATGAAACTGCCTGCTATTAGCAGAAAACGCCATCTAGGACTTTCATAGCTAGAGAGAAGTCAATGCCTGGCTTCAGAGCTTCAAAGGACAAGCTAACTCTCTTGTTAGGGGTTAATGCAGCTGGTGACTTGAAGTTGAAGCCGGTGCTCACATACCATTCCAAAAATCCTAGGGTCATAAAGAATTATGCTAGATCTACTCTGCCTGTGCTTTATAAAAGGAACAACAAAGCCTGGATGACAGCACATCTGTTTACAGTATGGTTTACTGAAGCCCACTGTTGAGACCTACTGCTCAGAAAAAAAGACTCCTCTCAAAATATCACTGCTCAATGACAATACACCTGGTTACCTGATGGAGATAGACAAGAAGATGCGTGTTGTTATTATGTCTGCTGATAGAACATCCATGCCTTTTTTTTTTTTTTTTTTTTTGAGACGGAGTCTTGCCACCCAGGCTGGAGTGCAGGGTGCGATCTCGGCTCACTGCAAGCTCCGCCTCCCGGGTTCACGCCATTCTCCTGCCTCAGCCTCCCAAGTAGCTGGGATTACAGGCGCCCGCCACCACGCCCGGCTAATTTTTTTGTATTTTTAGTAGGGACGGGGTTTCACCGTGTTAGCCAGGATGGTCTCGATCTCCTGACCTTGTGATCCACCCGCCTCGGCCTCCCAAAGTGCTGGGATTACAGGCGTGAGCCACCGCGCCCGAGGTACAACATTCATTCTACAGCGCATGGATTAAGAAATCATTTCAACTTTCAAGACTTATTATTTAAGAAATAGATTTCTTAATAGCTGCCACAGACAGCGATTTCACTGATGGATCTGGACAAAGTAAATTGAAGACCTTCTGGAAAGGATTCACCATTCTAGATGCCATTAAGAACATTAATGATTCATGGGAAGAGGTCAAAGTATCAACATTAACAGGAGTTTGGAAGAAGTTGATTCCAACCCTCATGGGTGACTTTGAGCAGTTCTAGACTTCAGCTGAGGAAGCCATTATAGATGGGGTGGAAAAAGCAAAACAACTAGAATTAGAAGTGGAGCCTGAAGGCCAGGTGCGGTGGCTCACGCCTGTAATCCCAGCACTTTGGGAGGCTCAGGCTGGCAGATCACGAGGTCAGGAGATCGAGATCATCCTGGCTAACATGGTGAAACCCTGTCTCTACTAAAAAAACACAAAAAAATTAGCCGGGCACAGTGGCGGGTGCCTGTAGTCTCAGCTACTTGGGAGGCTGAGGGAGGAGAACGGCGTGAGCCCAGGAGGCGGAGCTTGCAGTGAGCCAAGACTGCACCACTGCACCACTCCAGCCCGGGCAACAGAGCGAGACTCTGTCAAAAAAAAAAAAAAGAAGTGGAGCCTGAAGATGTGACTGAATTGCTGCATCTTATAATAATACTTGAACAGATGAGGATCTGCTTCTTATGGATGAGCAAAGAATGCAGTTCCTTGAGATGGAATCTACTCCTGGTGAAATTAGGCCAATTAACAACCCTACAATGGCCTCTACGTGTTCAAGTAAAGGAAGAGTCGCACAACTCCCACTTTAATCAAAAGCTAGAAATGATTACACTTAGAAAGACATGTTGAAAATGCTGTGAACACGACTGAGATGACAATAAAAGGTTTAGAATATTATATAGACTTAGTTAATAAAGCAGCAGCAGCAGGGTTTGAGAAGAATGAAATTTCGAAAAAACTTCGACTGTGGGTAAAACGCTACCAAGCAGCATTTTATGCTACAGACAAATCTTTGTAGAAGGAAGAGTCAATTGATGTGGGAAACTTCATTGTTGTCTTATTTTAAGAAATTGCCACAGCCACCCCAACCTTCTGCAACCACCACCCTGATCAGTCAGTCAGCAGCCATTAACATCGAAATAAGATTCTCCATTAGCAAAAAGATTATGACTTGCTGAAGGCTGAGATTATTAGCAGCCTTAGCAAGAAAGTATTTTTAAATTAAGGTATGTATATTGCTTTTTAGACATAATGCTACTGCAAACTTAATAGACTACAGGATAGTGTAAACATACTTTTCTATTAATTGGGCACCCAAGAAATTTGTTTAACTTGCTTTATTGCAATATTCACGTCATTGCAGAGGCCTGTAACCAAACCCACAATATTTCTGAAATATACCAATATATTGTACATACTTTTAAATTCCCTTTCTTAAACAGAAACGTGATATAGACTTTTCTTATTTCATGAGTCAAATTCACACACACATACATAATATATATATAAAATCTTTCTCTGTGTGGTCTTTGTTCTCTCTTTTTGGTGTATCTTCCAGTTATTTAGAAAAGTTGGTGTTCTTGTTCTCACAGTTATGTTTACACTAACACAGATCAAGGACCCTTAACTCGAAAATCCAAAATCTGAAATGCTCCAAAATCTGAAACTTTTTGAATGCTAACATGATGCTCAAAGAAAATGCTTATTGGGACATTTTGGATTTTGGAATTTTTGATTAGGGACACCCAACCTACACTTTATATGATAACTTTGTATATAACACCTTCACTTTTTTGGTGACTGTTTATTGGTTTCCTACTTATTAGCAATATTAATATTAGGTGATAATCTTCTCTTTTCCCAGCTTTTCCCTCCTTTTTGGGATCCAATTTGAAACAGCATCCTTTTACTTCCAGTTAATATTTACAAGGCAATCAATAAGGAAATCCTACTTTTCACATACACTCACCATCTCCTTCTATTTTCTGATAGTTACACTACATCTTCACCGTCAGAACACACAGCCACTGGATATTACACTGTCTGCCTTTAACTATGGTTTAGTCTTCATTCTGTAAGTAAATATATATTGAATGCTTACCCACTGTTGTTAGGTAGAAGTCTCTCTAATCATTTTGGTTGGCTGAAATTCATTCTGTTGTGTAACAGATTCCTTAGGAAAGGCTCATTGGAACAATCATCCCAGAGTCCTTGCATGACCTAATAGTGTGTGGTTCCTGTACCTGGGGGTCAATTTGGCTGGATATAAAGCCCCTGGCTGTTATTCCATTGCCTTCTGGCATGAGACAGATATATCTGTTAACAACTGCGTTTTCTTGCCCTTATGAAGGACTTAGCCATTTTGTCTGGATGCCCAGAGGACTCTTTTTCTATAAAGTCTAAGAGATTTATTGGTAACTATCTTAGCGTTGTCTGTTCTGGGTTAATTTTCCCTGAATGTAGTAGTGTGCCCTTCAATATAATTTTAGTATTTTACTTCAAGAAAGTTTTTTTGACTTCTAGTTTTTGTATTTATATTTGCTCTATTACATCGCTTTGGTCTTTTTTCTAGTGGCTCATTATCACACATATTTCAATTTTTCATTCCAATTTTCAACTTCACTTAAGGACTCTTCAGTTGTTTATTCACTCATGTTCCTTTTAGTTTAGTTTTCATTTATGAAAT
Source organism: Homo sapiens (assembly GCF_000001405.40). Taxonomy (NCBI): domain Eukaryota; kingdom Metazoa; phylum Chordata; class Mammalia; order Primates; family Hominidae; genus Homo; species Homo sapiens. The sequence goes on from NC_000006.12 coordinate 8,054,987, forward strand.
ATTTTTAAATTTCTTTTTCCTGAATTCTTTCACCTGACCTTTTATTTTTGCTAATTATTTTACCTGATCATTTCTGAGTTTTTCCTTTTATGAGTTATATCGTTCTTTCCTTGCTTCTACAATTTTCTTATGCTCCCAGAGCTCATGTTAAAATACTAGGTTAGGCTGGGCATGGTGGCTCACGCCTGTAATCCCAGCACTTTGGGAAGCCGAGGCGGGTGGATCACCTGAGGTCATGAGTTTTTGAGACCAGCCTGGCCAACGTGGTGAAACCCTGTCTCTATTAAAAAATACAAAAATCAGCCAGGTGTGGTGGCGTGTGCCTGCAATTCCAGCTACTTGGGAGGCTGAAGCAGGAGAATCACTGGAACCCAGAAGGTGGAGGTTGTAGTGAGCCGAGATTGTACCACTGCATTCCAGCCCGGGAGAAGAGTAAGACTCTGTCTCAAAAAATATATACAATAAAATACTAGGTTATAGTTCTATTTTTTGTGTGGTCAAATCTTTCTTATTTCCTCGAGGAATATTATTCTGTTCTTTATCCTCTAATCAATTGTGTGGGATTTGACTCTTGCTCGACTTTAAGTGAAATTAGTTTTCCACTATTTTTAGAAGGGAGGGGTGGTGAGAATAGCCTTTTTAACTTTAGAGTTGTATAACTCCCTTTTTCGTTTCACAAAGTATTCAGTTTCCTACAATTTTTCTACAGTGTAAAACATTATTGTGAAAGGGTGTTTTGGTTTGGGAGTTCCAAAGCCCCTGACTGCTTCAGCACCATTAGGTTTTCCTACAGCCCCCTAGCACCTACTCCTAAGTTGGAGCCTGTGAAGTCCCCTCCCAGTTTCTGCTGCTGTTCTCCAAATGGCCCACTGCTATAGTTTGAATGTATCCCCCAAAACTGTGTGCTGGAAATATAATGCCCAATGCCACAGTGTTGGGAGGTGGGGTCTGGGCCTAACGAGAGGTGATTAGTTCATGAGGGCTGTGCCCTCATGAATGGATTAAGGCCATCATCAAAAGAATGGTTTCCTTTATAAGTAGACAAGTTCAGCCCCCTTCTCTTTCTCTCTTAACTTTTCTTACCTTCTGCCTCCCACCATAGGATGACATAGTCAGAAGGCACTCACCAGACGAAGCCCCTTTGATAACTTCCCAGCCTCCAGAACTGTGAGCCAAATACATTTCTCCTCATTATAAATTACTCAGTTTCAGGTATTCTGTTAGAGCATCACGCAACAGACTAAAACACCCATCAGGCTTCCCAGATCTATCTGGTGGGAATTTTGAGGTTGTCTAGCACTCAAGGCTCTCGCAAGTCCCTCTGCATTCTTTCCACTCCCTCTGGCAGTTCTGATACCACAGAAGCCTTTTAGCTGTTGGTGACTTGGCCATTGGTATCATGGGTACCCTGTTGCCTGGTTTTATTACAGATGTAGATTGGGTTTGCTGTGCTAATTGCTCTGTTTTTAGACATATTCAAGGGGGAAAAAAAACAAAACATAAAACTATGCCCCCGCCACTGCCACCTTCTCCAGATGGTATTGTAATCTGGAAGAATCGAGAGAGTAGTGGAAACTATTTCAATGCTTATGGCACAGACTCATTTACATGTACAAGAAAATGGTCTCTCAGTTCAAAGACAAACACAACTAAGAACAGAGAGTGGAGCTATGCAGCTCCATTCAGGGGACAGGTTATTATTCTGGGGCCTATAAATGGGCTTTGGGGTTCCAGGGTGCTCCTGAAATTGTAGTCAAATTGAAGACATGTTCTCTATGCATTTTTCTGGGGAAAAAAATTCTTAAAGGAGTCCGTGACCTACTAAGAGAACTACTTATTTAAAGGGTTATTTATTGTAGCAGGCAAACGGGTAGTTACACACAGTAAGTGAATTAGTAGCCATAGCTCTCTAACAACCCATTAATAATCAATTTAAAAGACAAAAAAAGGCCTGGCGTGGTGGCTCACGCCTGTAATCCCAGCACTTTGGGAGGCCGAGGCAGTTGGATCACCTGAGGTCAGGAGTTCAAGACCAGCCTGGCCAACATGGTGAAACCCTGTTCTCTACTAAAAAAATACAAAATTAGCTGGACATGGTGGTATATGCCTGTAATCCCAGCTACTTGGGAGGCTGAGGCCGGAGAATCGCTTGAATCTGGGAGGGGGAGGTTACAGTGAGTCGAGATCGCACCATTGTACTCCAGCCTGGGCAACAAGAGTGAAACTCCGTCTCAAAAAAAAGAAAAGAAAAAAAGAAAAGACAAAAAAACCCCAAAAAACCCATGACACTATTATACAAAAAAGACGTTAGAAAGTCTCTTCCCTTAAACTCACCATCTGGTGTGCGTTTGTTTTTATGCTGATATTTTTAACTGAGGGGTAACTGTTCGCACTTATCACACAAGGAAGAATATACTAACATTTGTTTATTTATATATGTATATTGTTTCTGGCATGAAAATTCTCAGAGCAAAGCTCAGCACTCATAAAGCTTGGTTTCTGATGTAATCTGATAGCATTAGAGAGAAAATGAGAGACTGACATAATTTAAATTTTTCTTTCAGTCACCAGATTTAAAACCATACGGTGTCTACACATACTTCTCATGTGTTATATGGAACAGACACTCTGATAAAATGATGTTTTAACCTGACAGTGTCTCTAGTAATCTAACCAAAAACAAGGAATCAGGAGATCAAGTGAAATTCCTGTGCTGCCTTTGGAGGAATTTTCTCTTGATCAATTTAACCCACATTAGAATTAATTAAAACAATCCCACTCAACTCTTATAATTATTGCACTATTAAATACTTTTCTTTTTGTCTCTAATTTTAACCAACATTTGCTTCATTTTTCCTAACACTTATTTTTCTTTCAGTCCAAACATCACCCATTCTATGAAAATTTCCCTGAGCTCTCTTAGAAGTTGTTTCTCGAGTTGTTTCCTCTTCTGAGCTCTCAAGTCTTTCGTGCTTATAACAATTACACCATGATGACTCTTTGTTTACATGCCTTTCTTCTCCCTAGATGGTAAACTTCACGGAGGTAGGAATTGTTTCCTATTTATTTGTACATGTCTTGTATGACTGGTACCTCTGCCTCCATTCCCTTCTCTCTTGCTATCAACACCTAAATTTTATTTGGAGTGGTAACATGCCTATAACAGAGACTGCTAGCTATTTCCTAACTGCCTTCCTTTTTGCTACATGAAATGCACATGTAATGGCTGGAGGTCCAAAAGCCACCTTGTAGGCCGAGCATGGTGGCTCATGCTTATAATCCCAGTACTTTTGGAGACTGGGGTAGGAGGATCAATTGAGCCCAGGAGTTTGAGTCCAGCATGGGCAACACAGTGAGACCCTGTCTCTATGAAAAAAAAAAAAAAAAAAAAAAAAAAAAAAAAAATAGCCGGCCATGGCATTGTAATCTGGAAGAATCAAGAGAGAGTAGTGGAAACTATTTCATTCCTTATGGCAGAGACTAATTTACATGTACAAGAGAATGGTCTCTTAGTTCAAAGACAAACACAAGTAAGAACAGAGAAGGGAGCTATGCAGCTCCATTCAGAGGACGGGTTACTGTGGTCCCAGCTACTTGGGAGGCTGAAGTAAGAAGACTGCTTGAACCCAGCAGGTTGAGGCTGCAGTAAGCCATGATCGTGCCACTGCACTCCAGGTTGGGTTACAGAGCGTGACCCTGTCTCAAAACAAAACAAAAAAAATGCCACCTTGTAAGCATATGGACAAAGGCAACATCCTAGGGGGATAGAAGGTAAAACTGGAAGAAAAAGCTGACGTTATAGGGCCACCATTCCAGCCCTAAGCTAACTCTAAACTCTGCATATTGTGATAGAAAATTAATCACTTGTTAAATCCACTATTTTTCAGATATCTGTCACTATTAACTAAACACATTCCTTACTGATATACATAGGTATTCAATAACTGTTCCATAAAGCATTGCATGAATAAAGTTTGCTAAAAACTAAATAAGGAACTTATACAGGACTATATACTCTATAAGCATGTCTAAATACTTGTTGACCACCATCAGTCTCTGCTCTGCTCCACCTGAGAAAGGCCATAACAGTTCCTCCAAGGCTAGAAAGACAGTGGCACAGAGGACAATGCCTTTACCCACTGATACTATTACATTAATACTCACTGGAAGGATTCCACCTGAAAGGTGAGATCCTTATGAATCTCTGTCCATAATGTTCATTGGAATCAAGGGAAAAAGAGTTTGTATAAAGTCAGGAGACAGACAGTCATCTGTCCTTAAATATTAATGAAAACAAAAAGAGAGCTTAAAATAGCCTAAGAGGACTTCAATAATTTAAGTAATGCTGCCACCATGTGGTACTTACTCCCTTCTTTTACAAATAAAATTTTATAAAGAAAAAGGTAATTGTTGCCATATACCTTAAGTTTTTTAAACATATAAACAACTTTAGTTTTAAGTGCTAGCCAGTTTTTCTTAAAGTAACCTACATTCAAATGATACAGAAAAGATGAAACTTCCAGGAGGTACCAGCAGCTCTGCTTTGCCACTCTATCTAACCAAAGACCACATTTATTAATTATCTGATATCATTGTTTCGGCCATGATAGAAAAGAAGTACAAATAATGCAGATGTATATTCAAACCTAAAGCCTCTGAAACATGTTGAGCTTTTTCCTTCTAATTTGAGATGAGAGTTATAACAGACAGAAAAGGCATTTGAGCCTGAAGTTGTGTGCTACACTAAACCCTCAGGAAGGCCAAATGGGGAGGGAAGACCAATTGGTCTTGTGTTGGTCACTGTGTGAAAAGACTGGATCAAGTACTTTTCAAGAAAAGCAACTCAAACTTAGCTGATAAAATGTTCTTGAGCCCTTCAGAGACCATTCTTCAATAATAAAGACCATTCTTCAAAGCACCGTAAGAACGAAGGGTGGGACTATGTCTGTCTTATTCACTGGCATATCATTACTTCCTGATATTATGCCTCACATAAAATAAGTGCTCAACACATTTTGTTTGACTTTATATAACCAGCTGTTACTATAAGCTGTTCTGACCTGTTAAATTTGTGGTAATTTATTACATAGACTTAGAAAATGAATACAGTGCCATATAGAGAAGTAAATTAGGGTGACATGATAGAGTGTACTGGTTACTGCTTTGGATTAAAGGGCTGGAGGTGATACTTAACCTGCAATCTAAACCAAAAATAATGAGCCATGCGAAAAATGAGAAGTAGCAGCATCTTAGGAAGATGGAATTGCTGATGCTGTAACAATCGTGATGTGTTAAAGAAAAAGAAAGGAAGAATTGTGGCTGAAACACAAGGAGGGAAGAGTTGTGTACAATAAAGTCTGAAAGACAAGTAGAGGTCAGAGATCATCTAGGATTTTTAAGTAGAGCCAAGGAGCTGGAGTGCGCTTTCCATGTAAAGAAAAGCCAAAGTAGGAGGAGGCTAAGCAAGGGTGTGGTACAACAGGATTTGCAGACCATTTGGCTACTGTGTGAGAAAGGTTATTTCACAGAGATAAGACTGAAATTAAGGAGACCAGGTAGGGGCCTACTGCAGGTGGCCGGGTGAGGGCTGACGGTGAGCTGGGTTGGGATAGGGGTAGTGGCAAGAAAGATAAGTAGAAAGATTTAAGATATGTTTTAGAGGTAGATTTGCTGATAATGTGGTTGCTGAAGTGAAGTAAAAAGAAGAAAATATAACTCCCACATTTAAGAACTAAATCCACACTCTATACATGTAAAACTCAATACAATTTTAAAAACATATTTATACAACACACTGTAAAAATCTTATAGCAAGTTTGTATAGAAATTTCCACTTTCTTCTTTTTTTATTTTTTTGAGACAGAGTCTTGCTCCATCGCCAGGGCTGGAGTGCAATGGCGCGTTCTCGGCTCACTGCAACCTCCACCTCCTGGGTTCAAGAGATTCTCCTGCCTCAGCTTCCCGAGTAGCTGGGACTACAGGCACATGCCACCATGCCCGGCTAATTTTTGTATTTTTTTAAGTAGAGATGGAGTTTTGCCATGTTGGCCAGGCTGGTCTCAAACTCCTGACCTCAAGTGATCTGCCCACCTCGGCCTCCCAAAGTGCTGGGATAAATTGAGCCACCTCGCCTGGCCTCCACTTTCTTCTTACTAAGGAATTGGTAACCATCTTTACACAGCACGGTAAAGGAATAGTCTCTGGATAATTTTCTGTGTCTCCCACATTATTCTTATTCCTAATAAGAATAATAAATAATGATGACAAATAAATAAATAAAATATCAAAAAGATAAAAAAGACTTAAAAATTTTTTTTAAATGATGACGATGTGGTATAATCAGATTGTGGGAACTTACTGCTTAACGAACAATGAACCTATTATACACGTTAAGATGTTAACTAAACCAATTACACACGCTAATTAACATGTTAACTGAACCAATTACACATGTTACTTAACATGTATAATTAACTTGGCTATGTACCTAGTTAATTCCTAGGTCCCAGACAATATTCTAAAATGCACAGATCCTGGGAAGTATGATGCAGTTTATGAGTCACAGCATCTTTTGCACCCAGAAATGCTTATCTAATGCAACAGCTCTGGGCCTCTATCTTTAATAAGCCCTCAACTGGGTTTATTAAAAGGTACTCTCCTTTTGGCATGTTTGCACATCCTGACTGGTCAGTATCATTTGCAAAAATCTGAAACTTACACAGAATCACAAAATTGTTTGTGCAACACCATTTACCATCCCAACAGCAGTTTGAGAAGTTACTGCTTAAAGCACAATAAACCAATTATACATGTACAAAACTACAGTAATAGGAAACAAGATGGCATGTTCATGCATCACTGTCGCTGGAACATAGTATGTAAGGTAGAGTAGCAGGTGGTTATGCTAGAAAAGCAGGAGCCAGGTCACAGAACAATGCTTGGACTTTATCCTGTGGACAGAAATAGTATCAAAGGTTTTAAAAAGTGAAATAATGTTAGATTCCTCTGGCAGCAGGGTGAAAACTGGATTTGACTTCGTTGATAAAGCAGGCAAACCTGTCAGAAAGAATCGACATTTATGAGGTAAACATCTAGGTAACGTCTAAAAGATGGGGTCACTGAATGTGGAACCTGTAAGAAAGGAAATAGCCAAGGATAATCCTTAAGTTTTAATTTGACTGCTTGCATAATTGGTGATGTCTCAATTGAGGAAAAAATTACAGAAAATGAGTCTGAAAAACTCAGACCCATCAATCTCTAAAATCCCTTTTTTTCCCCCACTATATCTCATTTTATAGATTAAAAAAACCTCAGATCAACAGACATTAAATACCCTAGAGCAGGCACCAGAACTTATGTATCCTGCTGTTTAGTATGGAACTTATCCCATTAAAAACAACAATTTTTACGTCTTCATCATTTTTACTTTGTATATTTTATGAACACATGAACTAAAATCCGATTTTAAAACTGGGGAATTTCTCTTCTGTATAATAACACACTAACAATTAGGGAAGTACTTTTATAAAATAAGTTTAAATACTCACTTCAAATTCTTTTACAAAATAACGAGTTTCACCTTGAATAACTGGTCTGTGATCCAAAAGCCTTGAATGAATTTCTCCAAGATCTATAAAGATAAAATGAAATTCAGGGTTAATCCATGCTAAATGGCATAATCTCTAGCTTGTTTTACTCTCTCCCTTCCCCACTAAGAGATGAAGGTTAAAATCCAGTTTAGACTATGGACTAAGAAGAAATCTCATCCACTGCCAGTGGATGTGTACACTGATACAACTACTTTTGAGAACAATCTTTCAGTATTCAATAAAGTTGCAGACATGTATACCTAGCATTTTCATGCCTAGGTATGTACCCTGGAAAACTCTTGCACAAATGAGTAAGGCCATTTATACATATTTATTACAGCATAGGTGTAATATCAAAAGAAAAAACGCAAAACACCTTAACCATACTCATACAATGGAATTCTATCAATCACCAAGTAAAAATAAATACATCAGAGTTACACTTATCAACATAAATATAAAAAATAATACGTATTTTATAATAAATATAATAAAAAAGCAAGTTTCAGAAGGATTAAAGCAATTTACATAAAACTTTAAAATATTCAAAATATTTCCTTTTGGGATATAGACAGAAGCAACAAAACTATAAAGAAATGCACAAGAATAATAAACACCAAATTCTGGATAGTGGCTACCTTGAGACGAGGGAGGGGAACTAGTGCAATTAGAGCAAGACACAGTGGGGCTTTTAGTAATTTATTTATTAAGGTGGGTGGTGAATGTTCATTGTAAGTCTCTTTTTCATAAGTCTGAAAAAGTCATTAAGAAAAGGTCTGAATTTAAGTCTTTTGGTGAGTCAGTTTATTATTCTTCTTAGTTACAACTATGTAGTTTAAAATGTAAGTCTCAAAATTCCTTGAGAAATTAAATCTAAGACAATGTATTATTCATATTCATTCACTGGCAATGTTCCCCAAATTTTTCATTTTTGCAGACATACGATGGGCAGGTTTCAATTCTCTATTTTAATGAATTTTATTAGTACATATCTTCTTAAGCATGTCAAGTAGAAAAAATAATACAAGCACTGTATATAAGCACTTTATATCTGGTATATATAAAGCACTACAACTCAACTGTCAAAGACTTTCACGCAGCAAACAGCGTTGTGAGCTTTAGGAGTCAAACCTAAAGCAGATTCTGTGAGAATCTAGGTTGTAACCTTCTCCCAGCTCAAAGCACACAGAACACATGGACATTTCTGAACGTGAATGGTTCTTTACAGTGCTATAGAGCGCCTTCGTAAGTGTATCTCACTTACTCCTCGCACGACCAGGAACAGATCGGGTAGGAGAGTGAGTAAAGCCAGTGACCCGAAGTCACTCAACTCCTAAGCGACTGCCTCCCGCCTCCCAGGTCCAATGCCCTTTCCACTACACGTCGGTGGCGAGGCTGCCCAAAGGCTCTGCGCCCAGGGGTCCTGAGCTTGCGGAATGGACGGGGGCGGGCCTGATGGCTCAGGCTGCGACAGAGGAAAGCGGGGAAACACGAAGAGTTGGGCTGGTTGGTTGTGGTGGGACGCATTTGGCGCGGGGAAAAAGGCGGGGACCGACCACGACTCCCCCACCCGCACAAACGCACGCGCGCCAGCCCGGGACCCGGGGGTCGGCCCGGGTCAGAGGGCGCCGCCTGGGAGATGAGGCTGTGCTGGGATCCACCAGGAACTATAGCCCTGACACTCCGTACCCTTGATAATGAGGTGCGCTGAGCCCGCAGTCCCCAGGGAGTCCCTCTTCTTGCTGCCACCGCCCGGGGCGGCCTCACAACCCACAGGGGTCTCTGTCCCTCCGCCACTCATCCCGACCAGTTCCGCCCACCCGCGGCCACGCTGCGCCTGCGCAAACCCGGCCGCCCTCTTACAAGGCGCGCCCGGGTTTTTTTTGTGTGTGTGTCATTACAGGGCGCCGGAGAAATTTAATCTACCCAGCGGGCGGTTCCGGAAAGGCGCCTGCCGTGTAGTCAGGCTGTGAACTGGCAGAAGCTCTTGCCGCCATGCTGGATCAGGGCGGATGCTGCTAGAATAGGAAGGTGCTTGAACTTTGGAGCTAAACTCAGAGCCCTGGTTATTTGGCTCAAAGCTGGTGCATTCCAGTACAGTTGTCCTCCCATATCTGCTGAGAATACATTCCAAGACCCCCAGTAGATTCCTGAAACTGCATATAGTACTGAACCATGTATATACTATGTTTTTTCCTGTATATACATATGATAAAGTTTATAAATTAGGCACAGTAAGAGATGAACAATTAGAACAATTTAATAAAAGTTATGTGAATGTAGTCTCTCTCCCAAAATATCTTATTGTACCGTCCTGCGGGTAATGAAACCACAGAAAGTGAAACCTCAGATAAGGGGGGACTACTGTATAGCAAAGCCAATTAGCTGGGGGCTGTTTCCCTACTATGCCATGAGTGTGGCTGACTATTCCTGCCTTTCTTTTTAGACACCTGTTTCCTAGAATGCTTCTCTTGCTCCCTCTTTCTGTTCAAGTCAGTAAACTCACGTTGTATAATAAAGAATTTGACTGGACTTTGACTCTGGTTCCTGGGAGGTACCCTCAATCCTTAGAATTTCCCAAGTGATAGAAGTGTCTTTGTTATTCATGGTGGGCCTCTGGAAATACACCTGAGTTTATGCTAATGAGATGGCTCATGGAGGGCCCAAGATGATTTCAGAATGGAGGCTGGCCACACCAGAAGGGCCGGCCAACCATGAGGGCTTAGGCTTTGAGTCACATAAGCAGGCCCACCTCTGGGGAGCAGATTGGGGCTGGAGACTGAGTTCAGCCATGTGGCCAGTGATTTAACCAACTATGCCTACATAATGGAACCCCAGTGAGTACTCTGGATGTGGAAGCTCAGGTGAGCTTACTGGTCGATAATCATTCATCAAAGTGTCAGGAGGGGGAAGCGTTCCTGAGGACACGTAAGCTTCTATTTGGGAAATCTCCCACATCTCGCCCTATACATCTCTTCATTTGGCTGGTCCTGATATGTGTCCTTTATAATAAAACTGTAATAGCAAGGAAAGCACTTTCTTGAGTTCTATGAGTCATTCTGTGAAACCTGAGGGAGTAAAGCGAATAGCAATGAAACATCATGTGTAGAGAGAAGCTGCGTGGGTGAGAACTGAGGCACCCTAGCAGACAGTGCTCAGGCCCTGGGCATATGACAGAGACAGCTGGTCAGAAGTGCAGGTGGCCTGGGAACCCCAAAGCTTGTGGCAGGTGTCTGAAGGGGAGTCTTGAGGAGGACCATGCTTTGACCTCTGAAGTCTGTGCTAACTTCGGATAGCACTGCAGTTTAACAAACACTTACATGGCACTTGCTACATGCCAGGTAATACTGTAAGTGGTCTACAAATTTGCATTCATTTAATCCTCATGGCCGGCCTTTGAAGTAGTTATTATTAATGTCCTCATTTACAGACGAGGAGGCTGAGGCACAGAGAGGTTAAATGACTGCCTGACTTGTATGTGGCAGAAACAACTGCCTCTGTGTCTCTGTGTATGTGTTTAAGCATAGGTGGTGGGTGAAGAGAGAGTGGGGAAGGGAGATTTGGAGAGAAGGGAGAGAGAAGCCATATTAACTTTAACAGGCCACATGGGCTTTTCATTTTTTCATTCAAAAACATTTAACAAATACGTTATTGAGCAGCTGCTACGTGCCCAGCATAGTGCTAGGAGCTAAGACACAGTGGTGAACAAGACTAATGCAGCCTTTTCCTTTCCTCATGCAGCCTGCAGGGGAGCCAACACTGAATAAGTACACAATTACTTTTCTGCAAGTCTGTTGCTTGTAGCCTGTGAATATGTGTTCTAGCCATTTGATTATACACTATTAAGTTGTATTGTTCTCTGGGATGGTGAGGTCCAGCATATGCCTCTGTTCTCTCTCCGCTTTTATATAAATCTTTACACTGCGGCTCAGACAGCTAGGAGACTGAGAAGCAACATTGGCAGTGCCATTTCGCCTGGCACATTCAGCTGCTATGAGTGTGTCCTTGGTCTTTGACCCATGAAATCTCAAGAGTTTTGAGGCTAAAATGGGACTCTTATCCTTTCCCTGAAGGTCTTGTATTGTCTCTTATTGTCTCTGGATTGACAAGACTTTCCCTGTATTTTTAAATGAAATTTTTATTGAGGTATTTGTAGCTTCTCATGCAGTTGTAAGAAATAATAGAGTTTCCTTTTACACTTTGCCTAGTTTCCCCCAGTGGTAACATTTTGCAAATGCTAATGTTACAACCAGGATATTGACATTGATACAATCCACCAATGTTATTCAGATTTCACCAGTTTTCCTTGTATTCATTGTGTGTGTATATGTTTAAGTTTATGCAATTTTATTACATGTAGATTTATGCATCTATCATCACAGTCAGCATACTGACCAGTTCTGATGCCATAAGGATCTCGTTAAGGTTCCTGTTTATAACCACATTTACCTTCCTCCCTGTCCCCACCCTGACTTCTGGCAACCTATCATCTGTCCTCTATTTCTAAAAACTTTTTCACCTCAAAAATATTATAGAAATGAAATCATACATTAAGTACCTTTATGTTTTTAAGAATAGCTGTACTCACATCATAACCTCTATACAAGATTGGAGAATCAATATCATATACAAATATAAGCATGGGATTGTAAAGGGATTTTTCCAATTACTGTGCTTTTTGAGACTCAAGACATCTAAATCATGGAGATATTGTCAATTTAGTAGAAGTAAAGTTCTGACTTTGGGGGAAATTTTTTGCTGTAATCCCATGTTGAATCTTTTGAAAATTAAAAAATAAATGAGTTATTACATGTATACCAAGAATAAAATTATAATTTATTCCTTAGTATAAGCCCATCAAGGGGAACCATAATTGGCACAGGGTGGGAGATAGAGGGACTCCTAAGTTTATTTTGTGTTCTATCACATCCACTCCATGAGATTTCCTCTGCAACATCTTTTATTGACATTATTTCTTATTTTTGTTTGTCTAACCTATTTTAGAAATGGGTTAAAAAATTAAAAAATGCAAAAACTGATTAAAGCAAAGGAGGAGAAAAGAGTAGGTGGTCTTGCTGGGCGTGGTGGCTCATGCCTGTAATCCCAGCACTTTGGGAGGCTGAGACGGGCGGATCGCCTGAGGTCGGGAGTTCGAGACCAGCCTGACCAACATGGAGAAACCCCGTCTCTACTAAAAATACAAAATTAGCTGGGCATGGTGGCACATGCCTGTAATCCCAGCTACTTGGGAGGCTGAGGCAGGAGAATCGCTTGAACCCGGGAGGCGGAGGTTGCGGTGACATGAGATTGCACCATTGCTCTCCAGCCTGGACAATAAGAGCGAAACTGTCTCAAAACAAAAACAAAAAAAGAGTAGGTGGTCTTTTGGGTGAGGTACTAAATATTACTGTGTAGCAATCTCATAACATTTTGGAAATGCGGCCGGGTGCGGTGGCTCACACCTGTAATCCCAGCACTTTGGGAGGCTGAGGTGGGTGGATCACCTGAGATCAGGAGTTCAAGACCAGCCTGACCAACATGGTGAAACCCCATCTCTACTAAAAATACAAAAAATTTTAGTATTAGCACCGGGTGTGGTGGCAAACACCTGTAATCCCAGCTATTTGGGAGGCTGAGGCAGGAGAATCACTTGAACCTGGGAGGCGGAGGTTGCAGTGAGCTAAGATTGCACCATTGCACTCCAGCCTGAGCAACAGAGCAAGACTCTATCTCAAAAAAAAAAAAAAAGTTTTGGAAATGCTTAGGGCACACTGGACATGAAAGCCAGTTTAGTGTGAAGTAGCACACTTTGTATTAGCATTAGCGGTCTTCTAGGCTGAAGCAATTTTATAATCCAGTGCTGAATCTTCCTGTACCAAATGCTGCTAGTTCCCCCTAGAGAAGCTTCTGGTGTAGCTCCATCATTTGGAGAACACGCAGGGCTTACTGCAAGAGCCACTAGAAAGTAACTGCTCCGGTGACAAAGCCAACCCATTGGAACACAGAATGCATTCCATCCACCACCCTGGGCACACCTTCATTAAACTGGACTCAGCTGTGCAAAAAGACAAAAGCATGAGTTGTTGTGTGCATGCAGCTAGCTCTACGTATGCCTGTCACCTAAGCTTTGGACACGTGTAGTACAGTGGTTCTCATGGTATGGTCATCACAGCAGCAGTATTAGACTCCTCCTGAATCAGAAACTCAAATTGGATCCCAGAAATCTGTGGTTTGAGAAGCCCCAGGTGATTCCCACGCATGCTAAGTCTGCGAACCAGTGCTTTATTGCAATGTCTATTACCTGTTTCCTCAGCATCTGATAATGAGAGTCAATGATAGAGTTCTTTTATCCAAGTGACAGGGTTCAAACCAAATGGTGAAAATGGTCAGGAACTGGAAACTTCATGAGGTCAAAGAGTTTAAAACTTCTAAGGGTTTTTATGACAAGGTATGTGTGTTGCAGAAGGTCAGGAAAAATGGGGATGGGGGAGAAGGAGAACTTACATTACATGAACAGACTAGTTTATCGACTGCACCAAAGAAGCTTTGGAATTTGTAATCAGGTGGCTGGAAGTTTCTCATCTTGCTCAAAGCAAGCCTGTGGCCTTATTGTTTAGAGCTATGCCTTGTCAAATTGGTCGTATGGCTACTGTATTTCAAGCTTAACTTGGACAGACAGGCCTGCGAGGCACAAATTTCTCAAGCAGATGAAGGTGGGGAGAACAAAAATTATCCACTGCAAGACTTCGAGGACAGATGACACCCAGCAGGAATGGCAAGCCAAATCTGCAGGAGCCATAATACAATTGGCTAGCCCTAGGGACCTGGCCTCTTTGAAGTGGAAGAGACAGCACGAATGAGCCATTAAATTAACTCACTGTGCTGGAAAAGATGCAATGCTTTCATTACCCCCAAAGAAACAAAAGTTTAAAAGATTAAAATATTCCTAAAGGAATCATGATAATGGAAGCAGAAATCCTTGAGATAACAGCAAAAAAATGGCCAGCATCTCAAATTCTCCTGCCTTCCTGCCTACCTTCTTTTGGCCTCCCTTCCTTAAGTGAAAGATGAGTTTTGCTAGATTAGGTAGCAGTTGGAATTAGTTTTATTTGCTAGCAGTATTGGGAATAAAGGCAAAGCCTGCAGGAATGTGGGCGCCAGCAACAAGTAATCATTATTGCAGAATCAAATTCCTCATCTCATCTCTGATATGCCTCTGTGTAACCCTAGAGCTGGGCTTCACGGTGTTATAAATCCAGCATACAAGACACAGAGCAGTGGGATGTGGAGCCCCTTGTGTATCTAAAAGCTCTGCCCAGCAAGAGAGATATATGACGGTAACTTTCTCCCCATTGCTTTTGCAATAAAATTCACCCAGTGCTCCAGGAAGAGTTAGGAATGTAATTCCACTTCAATAAATCAAGACTAAAATTAAGATGGCCAGATATGTAGCAGCCTGCTCAGGTGTATGGAGAATTTGAAATTTAGTGCCCTGGTAATGGGCAGTAGCAGATTATCTAATTATACAGAGAAAGAAGAAATACTGCTCTCTGGGGTAAAAAGCTAAATGCTCTAATCCATTAAACTACCACAGCCCTGCCAAAGCTAGATTCATATTAAAGTTCATGCAACATCTGACTTTTTAAAAAGGAATTAAGTCAAATGTTAGAAAAAAATATAAATGAAAAAGCTGTAGTTCACAATAATTCTAATTTGACCACTTGTCAAATAGTGTATTTTATCTTTGGGTGTGATGTACATGTACCTGATTATAATAGAGCTCTATTCCGTCGTAACAATATAACCGCTTAAATTTTTATCAACATATCTTGAAGCTATTCTGGGCAGACTTGCTATTCTGAATGGAATTTCAGCAGGGCTCTCATGAATTACATTTTTTTTTTTTTGAGTCGGAGTTTTGCTCTTGTTCCCCAGGCTGGAGTGCAGTGGTGCGATCTCGGCTCACTGCAACCTCTGCCTCCTGGGTTCAAGCGATTCTCCTGCCTCAGCCTCCCGAATAGCTGGGATTACACACATGCACCACCACACCTGGCTAATTTTGTATTTTTGCTAGAGACAAGGTTTCTTCACGTTGATCAGGCTGGTTGTGAACTCCCGACCTCAGGTGCTCTGCCCACTTTGGCTTCCTGAAGTGCTGGGATTACAGGCGTGAGCCACCGCGCCTGGCCACGAATTACATTTTTAAGGGGGCACTGACAGTATGATGCGCTGGCAGTGGATGATCGTTCACATTCATTCCACTCCTCCCTTCCTGCCTTCTTCATCCCTGTGGGAGATCTAATGTGCCTATTACTGACTGTGGTTAACCGTGGGCTCAGGTATAATTGGGTGGGGTAAGTGGGAGTTTACCAGTACTGCTAGCAAATAAACTACTACATATCTGGCCATCTTAATTTTAGGTGTAACTGGGAGTAACCATGAGAATTCCTATATATCTGCTAAAAGCCTTAGTGAATAATCTTTTTGCTGAACTGGGGGTGGGAGATGGGGTGTTTAACTGGGAAGTCGGGTCATGGATGGATGATTATGTCATTCTTGGAGCTATGTCACCTTTTCTACCATATTGTGATAGTCATTGCTTGGGAAGAGACTCACAACTGCAGAACTACACAAAATACTTCATGATCTCTTGGATGCTTGGGTATAAGCATGGCTGTGGTTGTTTGACATTGTTCCCATTCTATAATTTCTATTTGTTTTAAAACTCGTTTTTATTCTAATTAATGAAAAAGCTCACAGACGTTTGACTGAAGAGTGATTCTTCCCTACTTGGAATTTTTGGTCTGTTCCTAAAAGTTTCACATGGAATAGGGACATGTGTCTAATCAGGGGAGTTGAATCAAATCCAGTGAACATGGCAACAGATGGTCTTCTAACCCTGAAATCATACAGTTCCCACTTCAGTCATGGTCTAACCAAGGTGGTGGTTAGCATGTGGGTTAGTCTCTGCCTCCTCTCTAGCTCCTAAATTAACATGAGATCATATTAATGTTGTAAAATTCCCATACAGAGCTCAGAACATATTAAATACTCAGTAAATGATATCTAATTATTTACTTTCAAACAATGCTGAGTGGCTGGCAGCCTCCCAAAGAGTGCTCTATATACCGTTTCAGGAATGTGTTCACAGACCATTGGATTGTAAACTTTATGAGGGCAGGGACGTGACTGCGTTATCTGCAGGGCCTAGCAGAGTTCTGTTACACAGTATGACCTAAATAATATTTAGATTATCATTGACTGGTCAGTGCTGTAGGCTTCTCGGAATTACAGAAAGAAAATCCTTGGAAAGGGGCTTTCACTTTTCAGAAGGAAGAGCATTCACAAAGATAGCTGCACTCTCTTCTAGACAGGTCGCATCAATCTTTGTTTTTTTTTTTTTTTTTTTTTTTGAGACGGAGTCTCGCTCTGTCGCCCAGGCTGGAGTGCAGTGGGGGGATCTCAGCTGACTGCAAGCTCCGCCTCCCGGGTTCACACCATTCTCCTGCCTCAGCCTCCTGAGTAGCTGGGACTACAGGCACCTGCCACCACACCCGGCTAATATTTTTGTATTTTTAGTAGAGACGGGGTTTCACCGTGTAAGCCAGGATGGTCTCAATCTCCTGACCTCGTGATCTGCCCGCCTCGGCCTCCCAAAGTGCTGGGATTACAGGCGTGAGCCACCGTGCCCAGCTAATCAATCTTTGTTTTTAAGAGACAGGGTCTCACTCTGTTGCCCAGGCTGGGATCCAGTGACACAATCATAGCTCACTGTAATCTCAAATCCTGGGCTCAAGTGATCCTCTTGCTTCAGCCTCCCAAAGCACTGGGATTACAGGTGTGAGCCACCACACCTGGCTCATTGATCTATTAGAAACAAAATAAGAAAGACAGCATGGTCCTTTTTTCCAACAGCTTGAAAAGTGTGAGAACCAGAGACTTTTTTTTTTTTTTTTTTTTGAGATGGAGTCTTGCACTTTCACCAGGGTTGGAGTACAGTGGCGCGACCTCAGCTCAGTGCAACCTCCGCCTCCTGGGTTCAAGTAATTCTCCTGCCTCAGCCTCCCAAGTAGCTGCAATTACAGGTGCCTGCCACTATGCCCAGCTAATTTTTTGTATTTTTAGTAGAGATGGGGTTTCACCATGTTGGCCAGGCTGGTCTTGAACACCTGACCTTGTGATTCATCTGCCTCATCCTCCCAAAGTGCTGGGATTACAGGCATGAGAGACTTTTAAACTGGTAAGTAATGTAAATTCATGTTTTATCAAAATCCCAGGATGCTCTGCCACCATTTTTATCTCAGGCTCACATGTTGAGCAAGTTGGTACCTCAGGGATGATTGGCAGGTAGGAAAAGTCTTAATAATTTGGCTTTATGATTTTACAATCTTCCATAGCAGTTTGACCTTTACTCATAACTTTCTACATATTAGGCACAGTGCTGAGTAATTTTTATATATTCCCACTGCAAATTAAATGAGATCAGTTGTCTTTACCCCTATTTCATATGAGGAATTCCATGTGCAGTGACTTGAGCAAGGTCTCATAATTAATACATGATGAGGCTGGTGTGCTCGACTCCACTGCTTCCCCACCCCCAAATGATTTAATGCTGTAATTCACATATTACAACATTCACCATTTGAAGTGTACAAGTTAGAAGTTTTCCGTATATTCCCAGAGTGGTGCAACCATCTCATTTATTCTTAAAATTATGTACCCATTTATTTTATCTAATACCTAGGGCAGGTTTTTTCTAGGTTGGTAAAAACTGATTCCACAAGTTAATTAAGCAGAATTTTATGGCACTCCATGTAGAGTAGTTTACAGGTAAGTTTGAGCCAGACATTTGTGTTTGAATCTCAGTTCCTTGATCTCAGTTCCTTGTATGATGTTGGGTTAGTTCCCTACCTCTGTGTGCCTCAGCTTCCTTATCTGCAAAAGGGGATAAAAAAGGAGTTAATTCACTTAAAGCACTTAGAATAGTGCCTGATACACACTAAATGCTCAATAAATGTTATCTATTATTGTTGTTATTAAAAGTTTTAACAGATATTTTAAAAAGTATTAACAGATCTTCATAACTGAATACTACAGAATCGTAAAATTAGCTCTGAATCATGAAAATTAAATTGTCAGTGAAATGTGGTCAGTGGAAATTGTATTATATCCCAATTCTTTGCAAATTGATGATCCATGTGATGTCAGCAATGTATTAACAAAATATCTTATACAATTGATCATTTGGCACTCAGAAGGCATTTTCCCATTTAAGCATTACTCACTGTGACAGAGATAGCTGGTTGCCTATGCAGTATCCCTTTTCCTTCTTTTCTCATTGACAGAGCAGAGCTTTATTCTGGGTGCCCTCCGACTACACATCTGGCCTCCTCCCAGCTGGAGTGGCCAAAATTGTAAATCAATACAGCCAAACAGGGCTTCCAGGAAAGGCCCTTCAGGGGAATTGATAAGGTTGGGAGAGAAGCCTTTTGCTGTCCCCCTCTTGCTGTTTCTTTGGGTCTTAATCAGACTTGATGTCTGGAGTTCTGACGTTAATACTGGACCATACGTTGAACTTAAGAATGGAAACCACTCGTTCAGCATGGAGTAGCAAAAACAGGAGCTGGATGCTTCACACCAAAGGTGGGCTAATTTCCTAACTTCTTTTACATGAGAAAAAAACAACCCACCCTGATGTTACTGGGCCTTTCTGCAATATACAGCTGTACTGATAACATATACGTGTAATTTACACTTATACTTTTCTCAGTCAGCTCAAAAGGAATGTACTGAGCTCAGTCAGCTCAGTACATTCTTTTACCAGATTGAGCACCGACTGTGGTGTGCCAATGATTGTTCTGAGGGCTGGATAAGCAAGGGAAAATATAGTCTCTGCTCTCAAGAAATTACTAAGCCCGGCGGAAGAAACAGATAATCAAAAACAGTACAATGATGCCAGTGCCAGAATCAGGGGCCAGGGGTGGGACAGACTTGACTTCCATGAGGACATTGACAAAGCAGAATACTGAAGAGGTTACCAAGTGAGAAGGAAAGGGCATTTCAGGCAAGTGCCTGACAGAAATGACCCAAGAAGCACAGTAGAAATTCTACAAGGAAATGAATTGTTTTGATCTGGATGCTGAGAATATGATCTAACACTTGGCTGCAGAAGCCAGGTCTTCATCTTTCGACCATCCCTTCATCCTCCAAGATCTAAGTTAGTTGCGAGAAGTCCTGGTACTTGGTGGTACCAAGTAATACCTGTTCCATCAATGTTGTGCACAATAAAGAATTGCCTAGCTGACTGAGGGATTCAGAGGAGTAAGACACAGGAAGAAGCGGGAAGAGGGGTCGCTTGACAAAGAGGTGGTTTCCCTCTCTGGCCTCCCGCTCTTTCCTCACTGCTGACCTAAAATGAAGGAAAAGAGTGAAATAGTTGGGATGAGAATGCTTGGTGGCCTATTTCCTGTTGCCTCTATCTGTCCTGCTTCAATCCTCCTGCTGAATGGGGGGAGAAGACAGAAGTGTTGGGGCTAGGTGTAATTTGCAGCAGTGAATCATGATGTGGCATGCTTATAGCAGACCGAGTGGTTAGCATGAAAGGTACACAGACTTGACCTACCCCTGTAAGACACATAACAACTCCCATAATTAATTTGAACCCTGTAGTCTCCGAACATACAAATACAAATTTACAGTTTTTAATTTAAAGACCATGTCACAAAACTAAAAATACTCCTGAGGGCAATGAATTGTGAAATACATCACGTAAAAACTGTCTTGATCTGTTATAATATACAGGAAGATGTGAAAGAGTGTGGGTTCCTTTCTAGACCACCACAATAAAGTATGACAACAAAGTGAGTTGCACAAATTTTTCAGTTCCCCTGTCCATAGAAAAGTTACGTTTATACTCTACTGGAGTCTATTCGGTGTACAACAGCATTATGTCTAAAACCACAATGTATGCACCTTAACTAAAAAAAATTTTATTGCTAAAAACAGCATTAATGATCATCTGGACCTTTAGGAAGTCAATCTTCTTGCTGGTGGAGGGTTTTGCCTCCATGTCAATGGCTCCTCATTGATCAGGGTGGTGGTTGCTGGAGGTTGGGGTGGCTGTGTCAATCTCTTAAGACAACAATAAAGTTTGCCACATTAATCGACTCTTCCTTTCAAAAGACATTTCTCTGTAGCATGCAATGCTATTTGATGGCATTTCAACCAAAGTAGAACTTCTTTCAAAATTGAAGTCAATCCTCTCCAACCCTGCAGCTGCTTTGTCAACTAAGCTTATGTAATAGTCTAAATCCTTTGTTCTCATCTCTACAGTGTTCACAGCATCATCACTAGGAATAAAGTCCACCTTAAGAAACCACTTTCTTTGTTCACCCATAAAAAGCAACTCCTCATATGTTGAAGTTTTATCAAGACTGCGGCAATTCAGTACCATCTTCAGGCTCTGCTTCTAATTTTACTTCTCTTGTTATTTCCACCACATCCGTAGTTGTTTCCTCCACTTAAGTCTTGAACTCCCTCAAAGTCATCCTTTAGAGTTGAAACCAACTTCTTCCAAAGTGCTGTTAATGTTATATTTTGACCTCTTCCCGTGAATCACAAATGTTCCTAATGGCATCTAGAATGCTGAAATGCTTTCCAGGTTTTCAATTTACTTTGCCTACTCCATCAGAGAAATCACTATCTATGGCAGCTATAGCCTTACAAAATGTATTTCTTTCTTTCTCTCTGTCTCAATTTCTTTCTTTGAGAGGGAGTCTCGCTCCGTTGCCCAGGCTGGAGTGCAGTGGCTTGATCTCGGCTCACTGCAAGCTCCGCCTCCCGGGTTCATGCTATTCTCCTGTCTCAGCCTCTGGAGTAGCTGGGACTACAGGCGCCCACCACCACGCCCGGCTAATTTTTTGTATTTTTAGTACAGACGGGGTTTCACCGTGTTAGCCAGGATGGTCTAAATCTCCTGACCTCGTGATCTGCCCGCCTCGGCCTCCCAAAGTGCTGGGATTACAGGCATGAGCCACCACGCCCGGCCTACAAAATATATTTCTTAAGTAGTAAGACTTGAAAGTTGAAATTATTCCTTAATCCATGGGCTGTAGAATGAATGTTGTGTTAGCAGGCATGAAAACACTGTATTTATCTCCTTTTTATCTCCATCAGAGCTCTAAGGGTAACCAGGTGTATTGTCATTGAGCAGTAATATTTTGAAAGGAGGCTTTTTTCTGAGCAGTAGGTCTCAACAGTCGGCTTCAGTAAACCATACTGTAAACAGATGTGCTGTCACCCAGGCTTTGTTGTTCCTTTTATAAAGCACAGACAGAGTAGATGTAGCATGATTTTTTTTGTTTTTGTTTTTGTTTTTTTTTTTTTGAGATGGAGTCTCGCGCTGTCGCCCAGGCTGGAGTGCAGTGGCAGCGATCTCGGCTCACTGCAAGCTCCGCCTCCCGGGTTCACGCCATTCTCCTGCCTCAGCTTCCCGAGTAGCTGGGACTACAGGCGCCCGCCACCACACCCAGCTAATTTTCTGTATTTCTAGTAGAGATGGGGTTTCACCGTGTTAGCCAGGATTGTCTCGATCTCCTGACCTCGTGATCCGCCCGCCTTGGCCTCCCAAAGTGCTGGGATTACAAGCATGAGTCACTGCCCCTGGCAAGATTTAGCATAATTCTCAAGGGCCCTAGGATTTTTGGAATGGTACATGAGCACTGGCTTCAACTTCAAGTCACCAGCTGCATTAGCCCCATATTTAATAAGAAAGTCAGTTGGTCCTTTGAAGCTCTGAAGCCAGGCACTGACTTCTCTCGAGCCATGGAAGTCCTAGGTGGCATCTTCTGTTAATAGGCTGTTTCATATACACTGAAAATCTGTTGTTTAGTGTAGCCACCTTCACCCATGATCTTAGCTAGATCTTGCAGTCTACGTTAGCACTTGCTGCTTCACCTTGCACTTGTGTTATGGAGATGGTGTCTTTCCTCAAATCTCATGAACCAATCTCTGCTGGCTTGGTTTCAAACCTTTCTTCTGCAGTTTCCTCACCTTTCTCAACCTTCATAGAATCGAAGAGAGTTAGGGTCTTCCCCTGGATTAAGAGAATGTTGTGGCTGGTTTCATCTTCTATCCAGACCACTCAAACTTTCTCCCTACCAGCAATAAGGCTGTTTCGCTTTCCTATCATCTGTGTGTTCACTGGAGTAGCACTTTTATTTATTGATTTATTTTGAGACAGGGGCTCACTCTGTTGCCCAGGCTGGAGTGCAGTGGCACAATCACGGCTCACTGCAACCTCAACCTCCCAGGCTCAGGTGATCCTCCCACCTCAGCCTCCCAAGTAGCTGGGACTACAGGCACTCCACCATGCCTAATTTTTGTAGAGACGGGGCTTTGTCATGTTTCCCAAGCTGGTCTTGAACTCTTGGGCTCAAGTGATCCATTTACCTCCACATCTCAAAGTGCTGGGATTATAGGCATGAGCCACCACACCCAGCCAGCACTTTTAATTTCCTTAAAACTTTTCCTTTGCATTCAAGTTGGCTGTTTGGTGCAAGAGGCCTAGCTTTCAGCCTGTTTTGGTTTTGACATGCATTCCTCAAGAAGCTTAATCATTTCTAGAGAGAGATGTGCAACTCCTCCTTTCACCTGAGCACTTAGGGGCTACTGTAAGGTTATTAAGTGGCCTAATTTCAATACTCTTGTGTCTCGAGGAAGAGGGAAGCCCAAGGAAAAGGAAAGAAGGGGAACGGCTGGTCAGTGGAGCAGTCAGAACACACACAACATTTATTAAGTCTGAAGTCTTATATGGGCATGGCTTGTGGCACCCCAAAAATAATAACAATAGTAACAAAGATCACGGGACACAGATCAGTTAACAGAGAGAGTAATGAAAAAAATTCAAAATAATGTGAGAATTACCAAAATGTGACACAGAGACATGAAGCAAGCACAAGCCGACGGAAAAATGGTGCCAATAGTCTCGCTCGAAGCAGGGTTGCCACAAACCTTCCATGTGTTGAAGATGAAGATGCAGTAAAATGAGGCATGCCTGTGCCCACACACCTGGCCTGTGAAGTCTCCTGACTCAGTCACTTCAGAGACAAACATGGGGGCCTGTTACAATCCTCATTTTCTTATAAACAAAACAATCATGATTTGCCTGGAGAAGAGAAAGGAAACTAACCTTACTGATTGCCAAGAGCTACATACTAGGCTTTTTTCTTCATGTTGTCTACTTTAATCCTAATTTAGCATTATCTTTTTATTTTTAGAAAGTAAGAAAATATGATTGACTGCTTTGTTTAAAGTTCTGCTAGAACTTTGAAGGGTCCACTGGTCAGACTCAGCATCAACACCAAAACATTAAGTAGCATTAAACGGGAAAGCCCCCGAAGACCCCATTTTTCTCATTATTTGTAAAGATAAGGTCTTTAGCTCTATGATAACTATTATTTATTCAACCAGCAAGTTATAAAATATACAGATCTTTTAATAAAGTGCCTCTGTTCTTCACACAGCACTTTAACAGTAGTCTTTCCATGAGAGTTGGCTTTCAGTTTAAAAAAATCTAGTAATTAAAAATTCAAAATTAGTGGGACAGTAAGACTTTCCCATCTCTTTTTTATTTTCCTCCTTACAGGAGGAAGAATTTCCCATCTCTTTTTGGCCACTGCATATTACAATAAGCCCAACAACAAAAAAGAATCATTAACTCAAGAGGAATGTATCTTACTCCAGTTTCCCGTAGGGCAGTTCAGTAGTTAGTTTCACCCCAATGAGTACTGACTACAGAAAGAAAGAAACAACGAAAAAATATTTTTTCAACCACATTTACTAGCTCACATAAATATTTTAAAACAAATCCATCTGTCTTCCCTTTTGGCTTCCTTGGCACAATTTATCAGTTCTTAACAAACTACCATAAATATCCATAAGGGGAAAATGAATTTTAGAATATGAAAGAGAGGTTAATAAATAGCCAAATATGTCAACCATTGAAATGACCACCAATTTTAAGATTAAGCCCGATTTGCAACTTTTATTGAAATAAATGTCATCTACTAAAAACAAGGTTAATTTATAACTGGATCTCAACTTGTTTAATAGCAATTGAATTTTGACATAAAAATTGCAAAACTTCAGCTAAAGAACAAATAAAACATTCAGACACAAGTTTACACTTCAAAAATTCTATCAACTTCAACAAATAATGAATGACTGTATATTAATTTACATTAGTCCTGTGGTCTAGAGTACATTTTCCATTTAAAACATTTTTAATAGATCTTCTGTATGGCATGGACAGCTTCTAGTGGGAATTAGTATATAGTCTGTTCTTGATGAAGACAACACTAGACAGATGTTGCCTGATGCCTGGATAATGCTGAATGTGACAAAACCAGCGAGACACATTAAGATATTTCTCCTTTTCTTGAACTGTCAGGTCAACCTAAGTAGAGATTAAAAACATACACACACAACACAGATGTTACATAAGCACAACTGTTAATATCACTTAAGTAGGAGATAGAAGTTGAAAAACAACAACATCAATCCCCCAAGAGCTCTCAAAAGCCAACATATTCAGATAGGAGTAAAAGTTTCAGCCCAGTGAACACTGACTTATAAAGGTTCTTCGTGTTCAATGTTATGTTCAGTACAAAACCTGATGTCCTTCCTGCGAAATACCAAGTTTTCAACAAATGCAAAATTTACATTAACTGAGGATTTGGAGGTCAAATAATTTGTTTTTTACTTCATTGGAAAGGAAGATAGATTAAGATACAGTTCTTTCTCTGGTATTCTTTAGTAAACCTAAAAAAAGGAAATGATCCATTTCAAGTCAATATTGCTTAATATAAGGAGGGGCTACTTCCAGTGGTGTGTGACTCAGATGAAGGAGGCTGAGTAAATGCATGAGAACAGACCTTCATAATTCTGTTTGCAATAAAGCTGAACTCAATCTTTTAGTGAATGGAGCAGTTCACCCAATTTGCTATCAAGCTACAAGAATGCTCAGAGATTTGGTTAGAGAGAGACGTGATACAAACTGCAGGTGCTTATCATTTCACTGGGCTCAAATTCCAAAATAGGTGACTCAAAGACTTTTCTCTAAGATAAACTTTAGAATTATTGAGAGTTATCAGGTAAAGAGAAAACCAGTAGGGCAGTAACTTGCAGCCATGACCCCATGAATGGGTGGTGTCGTTCCTTCTCCTAAGTCACATTTACTTAACAGATAGTGCAAGTCTCTATAATGCTGACAGGAGTGTTTGCAGAAAGAAATAACTCAGCCACCCTACAAGCGCTACAAACCCCCCAGCAGCCTGCTTGTTGGGAGACATTTTTAGTGAGATGAATGTCCTTTGCTTTTCAGCATTTAGCACATACCTGTTCTGCAGACAAGCATTCTGCTAAGTTACCAGATCACCAAAGGTGAAGGATAAATCACTCCACATGCAGTAATTATTACAGAATACAAAAGGATATTAACAATAAAATTAAAAAGTAGGCAGTATTTTCTCATTAAATGTTTATTTGGACTCGTATTTGTTGGCTTGATTTACTTAAGTTGTTACCAGGGAGAATCTTCACTGCTTCTGTTTCAGAAAAATTTAAGTTTCAGGTTTTAGTGATACATACTTAAGTCCTACACACAAGCTGCTCTAGCACATTATAAAAACATATTCATCTTGTTTAAGGTTGTGTCTACTTAGAAAGATGTTACTACAACTGTCTCACCTATAACATAGTCAGTCCATGGCACAGAGATAAATAACACATCAGTCAAGAAAACTGGTCAAGTATGTCTTTTTTAACGTAAAAGTTTAATTTTTATTATGAAAATTCATGGTTTCACATGAAAGAATTACATTAGGCTAACTGGTAGATTCAAACTGAAAGGAGCATCTACCTGTCAGGTGTGTTTTCATAGGCAGCACTTAATCTGTGGAATAAACTGAGCATCAGTCTATATTTCAAAAATATTTTGAAAAATATTTTGTAAAAGAGCATTTTGTTCTTTTTCTAAATCTTTACCATATATAAACCTCAGCAAGGACTTCAAAAGAAAATGTACGATTTATTAAAAGCTCAACCAGTAATAAAAAGAGCTGCAAATCTAACAAGAAATGGGAGCTTTCTTACCAAAAATGAATAAATGAATGAATAAAATTCAAAATCAACTTCGACAAATCTCTTTGCTGATAGTTAAAGCAAACAGATGTAACAATAAGTTTTACTCCAACTTGATTTCATGTCAGCTGCTGAAATATATGATGATTCAAATCTGACCTCTTTCTTACCATTTTAGTCCTTTCATCGCTCTTTCATTTCAGATAATTCTCCACTCAGCCATTTGGTAAAGCATTTCCAAACAATAGAGTACTAATGCTTGTTTATGTTCAAGTTGTTCACCCAGATTTTAAACTAGGTAAAAAGGGCAATGTTATGTGTGATATTTGTATTTCAGAACAGCATTTGGTGTCACTGAGGACTAGTATAAGTTGCTTACAGGCCTATTATTTAAAGAAATACTAACATACAGAACACAGCAAAATAAATATTCTCCAACTTAAACATTTTACATTTGGAGTCTCTAGAGTCAGGATTATCAACAGACTCACAGTAAAAAATAGTTTTTATTCCAAGAGCTCCTAAAGCTTCTAAAAATTCCTAATTTATTCCAATGATTTATTTATTATTATTATTTTTTGAGACAGAGTCTTACTCTGTTGCCCAGACTGGAGGGCAGTGGCGCGATCTGGGCTCACTGCAACCTCCACTTCCTGGGTTCAAGCGATTCTCCTGCCTCAGCCTCCTGAGTAGCTGGGACTACAGTCACATACCACCACACCTGGCTAATTTTTTGTACTTTTAGTAGAGACGTGGTTTTGCCATGTTGGCCAGGCTGGTCTCGAACTCCTGGCCTCAAGTGATCCACCAGCCTCGGTCTCCCAAAGTGCCTGGATTACAGGCATGAGCCACTGCACCCAACCCCCTATTCTAATAATTTTTAACTAGATGATCCATTTGACAATATTTTTAGATGATCTATTTTAAGAATGTACATTTATTCATTTTTCCCTCAGGAAACTTTTGCCAGAAACTCACAGAGTTTTTCAAAAAGGATGAGGTTACGGTTACCACTTTCACCTCTTTTTACAGTTTAAACTTTGGAACTTGTCCCTTTGAGTCTGAGATAATTATGAATGACCTTGACTTGTTAACTCTGCTACTTTTTTGGAAGACATTCCCTATATAAACTTACTGTAAACAAAGAAATGAACAGATTTCTCCCCTCACCAAATTTACAGATTTTAAAAACATTTCTGATGGGATCTCCCAGACTATTTCACTTACAACACTGGTTTTCCACCATCCCTTTCTAGCTCAAGTTCTTTTTCCTTTCTTACAACAGGAAACAATGCAATTGTTCTAGTTGCCATTTCCTGCTTCATGTTGATCTGCATGCCAGTGTGTCTATAGTGGTGCTTGGCTCTTTCTGCCTAATAATTCCTTTTAATTTATATTGGCACTCTATCATGACTTTGAACTTTAAAGCCAAGCAGATAATATTCTGAATCACTAATTTTCCATGAAGTCATGTGAGAAACACTTTAAGTGAACCGTTCCGGATCAGGGTGACACGCTGCTTTGCTACCTTTCCAACTGGCACCACGTTGCCGCCTTTGGGACATTCTTTAGGGCCAGTGCTCCTGGACTATTTTGCAGTTAATTCTTTTATTTTTCCTTTCCTTATAAAAGAACCACATGCCTCCAATGGTGCTCCAAACTTCAGAACAAAAGTATTTCAGTTGATAGCAATCTTACAGTCAAGCAGCACATAATATTACAAAGGATTTTAATAATCTTGAGTAACAGTCTGTTCACAGGGATGACTATCTCCTAGTGAAATCACTTTAAGAAAGCAGTGAGTCACTGGTGTTATAATAAACAGCCACACTAACAGGCAGTATAACAAAGGAAAGGCAACATAATATTCCTCAAACGGAGTTAAGATAGACCAGATCTTAGAATAACTCAGCCATGACTAAAATTGGGCTCACAATGAAACAAAATACAGTGGAATTATCTGATGACTCGAAGGTTCCTTGACTGCTGTTTTGTACACTGTGCTGATTACATATTCCGTATTGAATAACGTGAACAAACAAATTAAGGAATGCACGAGGACAAAAATAAATAATATTGCCAAAGCAAACAAAGCACGAAGACCTGGTAAATATCAGCAGGTGGCCAATCTGCACCTCACACCCACCCTACCTTAACACCTAGAAATCATTTATTCCACATCTGTATGTATTTGTACCCAACTTAACTGGAATGTCATTTAACACCACAGTGCAATTCTGCCATTGTGTAGGTTTTAGTCTGTGAGGCCTGTTCCTTGAGAAGGTGTTTATTTCTCTGATTACTTTGCCTGCACTTGGACTAGAGTGGGAGAGATACTTTGACTCATGATAGGAACCCAAAAGGATGGTCAACAGTGATTTACATATTAATCTATTCAATTTCACTTTGAAAAAGATAAGGATATCTTTAATCATAACATCCTGGTCACTATATATGAAGATGACATACATTCCAAAATACAAAATGTAAACACATACAGAATGCTAAATATTATTAATGTAACCCTAACTTTAACATGCTGTACTGAATGAAACACTTCTAACCTGCCTAAAAACCAAGTACCCTCCAGTGCACTTAGACTCGTAATTAAATAACTTTGCAGCTAGTGCTATGAATATTTTGCACTATAGGATTATGACCTTATTCATTCTGCTGGCAAAGGAATTCCAAACAAGTTCCCTCCTTTTCCGAGTATTTCTTTTCCCTACTGCAAAACCTGCATAAGCTAGAGGAAAAGAAAATTTAA
This sequence comes from Homo sapiens, assembly GCF_000001405.40. Classification (NCBI taxonomy): domain Eukaryota; kingdom Metazoa; phylum Chordata; class Mammalia; order Primates; family Hominidae; genus Homo; species Homo sapiens. The sequence continues at coordinate 8,084,483 of NC_000006.12, forward strand.
TTAAACACTTGGTTTATGAGTTACACTTCAGTATCATCTTTTTTATTTTTAATTAGATGTAGAAATACTCTCCTTCTTAATGACAGCCCGATGCTACAGCAAGCAAGATCTTGTGGGTCTGAACAGACGTTCACTAGCCTGCTGGCTGTCATCACAAAGGACGACTGATGATATTTTTCCTAATATAAAGCTTAAAAAGTTAAATGTCAAACCATATGTCACATTTAAATATATATTTCGTAAAAAGCCAACAAGTTTGTTATTGTGGTTTTCAGATAGAAATTGTTCTTGGAGCCCTGTTGGGTAGCCATGCTCACAGCAGCACAGTCTCACTAAAATGAAGTACAGACTCCCTCAAGTTCAAAGACTGTGTTTAGGCTGCCACCAGGAGAGAGATGCTTAGATACCTTAGCAGCAAATCCTCTTTACCTTGCAGGCTTTTTTTGTTTTGAAATGAGGTAAGTTGTGCCTCATGATCATTTTAAATTCGAAAAGCTACTAAAACATATTGAACCTAGCATGGAATAAAAGAAGGTGGTAATCAATGTACTTCAGCTCCAATAAACTTTCTCCACATTTAAATAACATTACTTATATTACACTTTCACTACAGAGATAAAAAATCTGAAATAGGAACTATAAATAGGTACCAGTTGTTAAATATTGCTTTTATTTATTTTTTTAAGACAGGTCTCACTCTGTTGCCCAGGCTGGAATGCAGTGGTGCAATCATGACTCACTGTGGCCTTGACCTCCCTGGGCTCAGAAGATCCTCCTACCTCATTCCCCCAAGTAGCTGGGACTACAGTCACAGAGCTACCACGCCTGGTTAATGGTTTTTTTTTTTTTTAAATAGAGACGGGTTTTGCCCTGTTGCCTAGGCTGGTCTTGAACTCCTGGGCTCAAGCTATCTACCTGCCTCAGCTTCCCAAAGTGCTGGGATTACAGGCATGAGCCATCATGCCCAGCCTTAATATTGCTAATCTCAATAAGCATTTAGCTGCACAAGGCACTGTTTTAAAAGCCAAGAGGGGATGAACAGAAATAAGACAAATCCTCTTTGGTCTCTTATTTTGTGTAAATTGAATCATATTCTTTGTAAGTATGGGGAATATTCATTCTACTTCACTCCTGTTGTCCCAATGTAATTATTAATAGGCCTCCTTTCACAGCCAAGTGTTTTGGATGAGAAATCATGTGGTCGCCCTATTTACAAAGAATATTTGTAATCAAACTTATCATAAGCTTTCCAAAACAATGAAAATTCCCTTAGACAGCCAAGGCCATCCAAATCTTCAGATATTTTTCTGACAATTTTCTGATTCTGTATTCTACTTATCTGCCTCATGCATTAATAACATAATATTCTGACCAGAGATTAGCACTGGATTCCATTTTCTCTACTTCATTAATTGCTTTCATGTAAAACAGTCTAATTTCTTCAATAAGATTAATATGCCCCTGAAAATAGTTTTATACTTCTGTTGTCTCCCTCTCAAGTATGGCATAGTGGGCATACACAGTGGGCTCTCAATAAATCATTTAAAACTCATAATAGTTTTACATTAAATTAAGGATCATTCTAAGCCATTACAATAATGTTACAGAATTTAACATAATCACTGAGGGATCTTTGAGGAACAATTCAGAATAAAGTCAAGTAAATTCAAACTGAGGGATTATAGCTTGAGTAGGGAACTAATAACTGTATCCTGCATTATTACGGTACGTTTGCGGGGTGAGGGGAAACTAAAAGGAATCCACTTCTATGACTGTCATGAAGCCCAGGAGTTCTGGAGGGAACTGCATTCCATTCTGAATTTTCTGGTTACAATCCCTGTCTTCTCTCTTCAACCTCAACTGAAAACCCATACTCAAGAGGCCTCAATCTGTGCCCTCTTATTCTTGGCAAATGGCAAAACCAACTATGTAGGAGGCTTTTTCAGAGGAGAAAACGACTTTGTTTTTCCAAAAGACAAACCCTCCACTTTGCTTTATGAGGCAGATAGCAGCCCCAAACCATGGATAGGTTGGGGCCTGCGCAGACCTCAATTATTACGGTATTTTACAGTTTATAAGACAAAGAGCTTCCCCACACATTAAGACACTTCAGTCAGAAGATCTGAAAGTTTGGCCCTTCCAAAAACTGAGCGCCGTGCCTTTAAACCACTCAAGTTTCCTAAGCATTAGTTTCTTTCTCTGTAAAAGAAGGCCAATAACACTGGTCCTATTTCCTTCTTAGTGATGAGGTACAGTGAGAAAGTATAGAGGAAACTCCTTGAAAAGCATAGAGAAATACGTTTAAAAATTTATTCAGTGTTTATGGAGGGGTGACCACCTACACATGCCAGGAATTACCTCAGACAATGGTGTTACAAATATGTGTCGCTACAATCATTGAGTCAAACAGCTTATAATTTAGAGAGATTTTCAAAGAATTACAGTAAGAGTGAAATGAGCTAGACCCGAAGTGTACATGAGGTACAAACACACACAGAGGAAGGAGCACCTCAATGTGGTTTAGGCGCCTGAGAGAGATGCAGCCGAGGAATGAGTGGGAACCGAGAGATACTTGGGAAATGCAAATGAAGTGGAGAGGAAGGGAAGGGCTGGGACCAGGGAACAAAAGAGAAGAGTAATGCAAGGATGCTGGGTAGAAACAGCCCAGCATACAGCAGGCTCTGGGGCACATGTTGTGGCTGAGAGAATGACGGGAAGGAGGATAGCAAGGGAGGCAGGAGTCAGATGAATTAAGACAGGGTTTCACTCTTGTCGCCCAAGCTGGAGTGCCTTGGTGCGATCTCTGCTCAGGGCAACCTCTTCCTCCTGGGTTCAAGCAATTCTCCTGCCTCAGCCTCTGGAGTAGCTGGGATTTCAGGCATGCGCCACCACGCCTGGCTGATTTTTGTAGTTTTACTAGAGATGGGGTTTCACCATGTTGGCCAGGCTGGTCTCGAACTCCTGACCTCAGGTGATCCACCTGCCTTGGCCTCCCAAAGTGCTGGGATTACAGGCGTGAGCCACCGCGCCCAGCTAAGTTTTGTATTTTTAGTAGAGATGGGGTTTCGCCATGTTGGCCAGGCTGGTCTCAAACTCCTGACCTCAAGTGATCTGCCCGCCTTGGCCTCCCAAAGTGCTGGGATTACAGGGGTGAGCTACTGTGCCTGTCTGAGTTGATTATTTTGAGAAAGAAAAAGACACGGTCATGAGAAAGACTGCTCCAGGGGCCACCAAGCTCATCTCTTACAGTCCATCCTCTTTAGATGAACAAAAGATTCTAAATACTGGAACTTGGGCAATGTCATTGGATCACAGGAAAAGACACATGTGAGAGGCATTTAGGAGCTGGAAATCAGGATCTGATTGACTGGATGCATGAGGTGCACAATGCACAAAAACACATGAGTTCTTTTTTTTCCACAGGGGGAAGATGGGTGTTGGGGTGATGGGGAGTTGAGCCAAGCTTGTAGGCAGAGAGATGGTCATAACAAAGCACATATTCTGGGGCCAAAGTGTCTGGTTTCTGGACCTCGTTCCACCACTTACTTGGGCAATCTCAAAGAAAACACTTGACCTCTCTACGCCTCAGTTATCTCATCTGTAAAATGGGGCTATTATTAGTGCCTACCCTATATGGCTGTTATTAGGATTAAATGAGTCAACATTTGTACAGCATGAAGAACAGTGCCAAGAACATAGTGAGTATCATGTCATCGTTCATGAACAAATTTAAAATAAAGAGACTGATCATGTAGGTAGTGGACAAGATTGAAGGAAAAAAAAGGAAATACAATCTGGAGCAAGATCCAGAAAAGGGGCAGGAGGCAGAGAGGAGATTCAGGTAAGAGGCCAGATGAATGGTGATATGGTTTGGCTGTGTACCCACCCACATCTCATTTTGAAATGTAACTTCCACAATTCCCACATGTCACAGGAGGAACCTGGTGGGAGGTAATTGAATCATGGGGGTAGGTCTTCCCTGTGCTGTTCTTGTGATAGTGAATAAGTCTCATGAGATCTGATGGTTTTATAAGTGGGAGTTCCCCTGCACAAGCCCTCTCTGCCTGCTGCCATCCATGTAAGACATGACTTGCTCCGACTTGCTCCTCCTTGCCTTCCACCATGATTGTGAGGCTTCCCCAGCCACTGTTAAGTCCATTAAACCCTTTTTCCTGTATATATATTACCCAGTCTCAAGTATGTCTTTATCAGCAGCGTGAAAATGGACTAATACAAATGGTTTGGCCTAGGAAAAAGGCAAGGCTGAGACCAGGAAAAGGAGACAAGATAAGACAAGGATGCACAATCAGGCAGGCTGGAAGATGAAGGGATTCAGATGAACAGCCTCCATTTTTCTAGCCGAATAATGGAGGAAGGCTCGGTGATAAGGACTAAAGATAAAGGAGGAGGGAGAAGGAAGGGGCTTAAGGAAGGAAGTAAAGGTTTGGAAGTATCCCTGGGAGAAAAAAAAAAAAGGAACTGAGCCAGTATGAGAGCCCAGCTGCAAATGGATAGTAAACATTTTTAGTGGCAGTAATCTACAGTGTTGTAATTTCTCCAGTAGAGCTCAGCTTGGATCTTGGATGTAAGAATGAAGACATTTATTTGGACTGGCCAAGAGCCGGGAACTTACAGGGAAAGGGTGGTGACTGTAGGGTAAAGCAAAGGAGCTGAAGATACTAAGAGGACGTAGCTGAAGTTACACAAAAGGGGGTCAGGTTGGGTGGGGAAGAAAGTATACAGATTTGGAAAAGAGGAGTCAAATTACATCAGACAGAAATTAGACACTAAGAGATCAAAAGAGCTAAGATAAGCGGTGTATTAGTCAGGGTTCTCTAGAGGGACAGAATTAATGGAATACATAAATATATAAAGGGGAGTTTATTAAGTATTAACTCACACAATCACAAGGTCCCACAACAGGCCATCTTCAGGCTGAGGAGCAAGGAGAGCCAGTCCGAGTTCCAAAACTGAAGAACTTGGGAGTCTGATGTTTGAGGGCAGAAAGCATCCAGCACGGGAGAAAGACGTAGGCTGGGAGGCTAAGCCAGTCTAATCTTTTCATGTTTTTCTGCCTGCTTTATGTTTGCTGGCAGCTGATCAGATGGTGCCCACCCAGATTAAGGTTGGGTCTGCCTTCCCCAGCCCACTGACTCAAGTGTTAATCTCCTTTGGCAACACCGTCACAGACACACCCAGGATTAATACTTTGCGTCTTCAATACAATCAAGTTGACGCTCAGTATTAACCATCACAAGTGGTTACACAGAAGATGGGGTACTGGAGTTAAGATCTAGAGGTGGAATGGTAGGAATATGGGGCCCAGGGGATGATGACAAAACCTAAAGTGTGGCTGGAGAAGTCACTGCTGAAGAAGGGCAGAAGCATAGGAAAAAAATCAAGGTCAAGGAAAAGGAAGCAACTGAAAGGAATTCCTTTCATTTTTATCTGATAAGCTGAAAATGCAAATCTGATTTAAATTCAAGACAAAGTTTTTTTAAATTTTATTATTATTATACTTTAAGTTTTAGGGTACATGTGCACAACGTGCAGGTTTGTTACAAAAGGCACCTTGTATAAAGGAATTCCTTTCATTTTTATTTGATAAGCCAAAAATGCAAATCTGATTTAAATTCAAGACAAAGTTTTAAAAATCATTCTCAACACTACAGAAAAAAAGCCAGTAACTATACAAATACTCACTATAAAGCGATGAAGTCCATAGTACAATAGTATATCTGCTAATGTAAAGTTATACCCTGTAAGGTAGACTTTATCTTCAAGATATGAATTAAGATCCTAGAAAAAAGAAAAAACAAAT